>NC_000004.12:86648653-86800168 GCF_000001405.40 Homo sapiens
TAACTTGGCTATGGTGAATAGTGCTGCCATAAACATAGGAGTGAAGATATCTCTTTGATACACTGATTTCCTTTGTTTTGGATAGATACCTAGCAGTGGGATTGCTGAATCATATGGTAGTTCCATTTTTATTTTTTTTGAGAAACCTCCATACTATTCTCCATAGTGGCTGTAGTAATTTACATTCCCACCAACAGTATACAAGGGTTCCCCTTTCTTCTTATCCTCACCAACATTTATGATTGCCTTTCTTTTTTATACAAGTCATTTTAACTAGGGTGAGATGATATTTCATTGTAGCTTTAAATTTATCTGATGATTAGTGATTTTGAGCATTTTTTATATACTTCTTGGCCATTTGTATGTCTTCCTTTGAGAAATGTCTATTCAGATCCTTTGCCCGCTTTTTAATGGGATTATTTGTTTTTTTCCTCTTAAGTTGTTTGTGTTCCTTATATATTCTGGTTATTAATCCATCAGATGGATAGTTTACAAATATTTCTCCCATTCTGTGGGTTGTCTTTTTGTTGTTTCCTTTCCTATGCAGAAGCTTTCTAGCTTGATGTGATCCTATTTGTTCAATTTTGCTATGAACAAAAATGGTTTGGTTGCCTATACTTCTGAGATCTTATGCAAGAAATCTTTGTGCACGCCAGTGACCTAGGGTTTTTCCCCAATGTTTTTTCCTAGTAGTTTCATTGTTCCAGGTCTTAGATTTAAGTCTTTAATCTATTTTGATTTGATTTTTGTATAAGGCAAGAGATAGGGGTCTATCTTCATTCTTCGACATATGGATATTAAGTTTTCCCAGCATCATTTATGAAGAGACTGTCCTTTCTCCAATATATGTTCCTGGCACCTTAGTCAAAACTGAGTTCACTGTGAATGTATGAATTTATTTCTGGGTTCTCTATTCTTTTTCCTTTGTCTATATGTCTGTTTCTATGTTAATACCATGCTGTTTTGGTATCTATAGCTTTGTATTATAATTTGAAGTCAGGTAATGTGATGCTTCCAGCTTTGTTCTTCTTGTTCAAGATTGCTCTGGCTATTCTGGGTCTTTTGTGACTCCATATAAATTTTAAGATTTTGTTCTATCTCTGTGAAGAATTTCATTGATATTCTAATAGTGATTGTATTGAATCTGTAGATTGCTTTAGACATGCGTCATGTCTAAACCTGCATCATATCTAAATGCATGTCAGCTACAGACATGCATCATGCTTGGATAATTTTTATTTAAACATTTAAGCAATATTGATTAGTCCAATCCATGAACATGGAATATCTTTCCATTTTTGTGTGTCCTCTTCAACTTATTTTCATCACTGTTTTGTTTTGTTTTGTTTTGTGGTAGAGTCTTGCTCTCTCACCCCGGCTGGAGTCCAATGGCATGATCTTGGCTCACTGCAGCCTCTGCCTCCCAGGTTCAAGTGATTCTCCCTGCCTCAGCCTTCCAAGTAGCTGGGATTGCAGGTGCCCACCACCACACCCGGATAATTTTTGTGTTTTTAGTAGAGATGGGGTTCTGCCATATTGGCCAGGCTGGTCTCGAACTCCTGACCTTAGGTAATCTGCCTGCCTCATCCTCCCAAAGTGCTGGGATTACAGGCATGAGCTACAACGTCTGGCCTTCATCACTGTTTTATAGGGTTGTGTTTTCGTTTTTTCGTTTCAAGATGGGGTCTCACTCTGTCACCCAGGTTGGAGTGCAGTGGCACAATCATGGCTCACTGCAGCCTCTGCCTCCTAGGCTCAAGTGATCCTCCCACCTCAGCCTCCCGAAGAGCTGGGACTACAGACATGTGTCATGCTTGGCTAATTTTTATATTTGTTTGCAGAGAAGGGGTTTCACCATGTTGCCCAGGCTATCCACCTGCCTCAGACTATCCACCTGCCTCAGTCTCCTAAAGGGCTGGAATTATAGGCATAAATCATTGCACCCAGCCTGTTTTATAGTTTTAATTGTAGAGATCTTCTGCTTCTTTGGTTAAGTTTATTCCTAGGTATTTTATTTTATTTGTAGCACTTGTAAATGGAATTACTTTCTTAATTTCTTTGTCATATTGTTTGCCATTGGTATAGAAATGCTACTGATTTTTGTATGTTGATTTTTGTATCCCTTAACTTTACTGAATTTGTTTATCGGTTCCAAAGGTTTTCTGGTAGAGTGTTTAGGTTTTTCTAAATACAAGATCATATCATTTGCTAATAAGAATAATTTGACTTCTTCTTTTCCAATTTGGATGTCCTTTATTATTTCTCTTATCTAATTGCTCTGGCTAGAACTTCTAGTTTTATTTTGAATAAAAGTGGAAGTAGACATCCTTACCTTGTTACAGATCTTAGAGGAAAAGCTTTCAGTTTTTCCCCATTCAGTATAATACTAGCTGTGAGTTTGTCATATATGGCCTTGATCATGTTGAGGTATGTTCCTTCTATACTGTTTGTCAAGAGTTTTTATCATGAAGAGATGTTGAATTTTATTGAATGCTTTTCCAGCATGTATTGAAATGATCATATAGTTTTTGTCTTTTATTCTGTTGATATGATATCTACCATTGATTGATTTGCCCATGTTGAACTATCCTTCCATTCCTGGGATGAATCCCACTTGAACATAATGAATGATCTTTTTATTGCATTGTTTAATTCAGATTGCTAGTATTTTGTTGAGGATTTTTGCATTTCTATTTATCAGTAATATTGGCCTGTAGTTAGTTTGTTTCCTTCCTCCTTCCATCCCTTCCTCCCTCCCTCCCTCCGTCCTTCCCTCCCTTCCTTCCTTCCTTCCTTCCTGATGTTTTTTTGTCTGGTTTTAATATCAGGGTAATACTGGCTTCAGAAAATGAGTTTGGAAGTATTCCCATCTCCTTGATTTATTGGAATCATTTGAGTAGAGTTGGTATTACTTTTTTAAATGTTTAGCAGAATTCAGCAGTGAAGCCATCAGGTCCTGGGCTTTTCTTTGATGGGAGACTTTTTATTACTGCTCTTATCTCATTACTTGTTATTGGTCTATTGTTATTTGGATTTCTTCATGCTTCACTCTTGGTTGGGTGTATATTTCTAGGAATTGATCCATTTCTTCTAGGTTTTCCAATTTATTGGGATATTGTTTCTCCTAATAGTCTCTAATGATCCTTTGAATTTCTGTGATATCAGTTGTAATGTCCCCTTTTTCATCTCTGCTTTTATTTAATTGGGTCTTGTCTCTTTTTTTCTTACCTTGGCTAAAAGTTTTTCAATTTTGTTTATCTTTTCAAAAAACCAATTAGCCAGATGCAGTGGCACACATCTGTAGTCCAAGCTACACAGGAGGCTGAGGCAGGAGAATTGGATCAGCCGAGACTAGGAGTTTGAGGCTTCAGTGCACTATGATCACACCTGTGAATAGCCACTGTATTCTAGCTTGGGCAACATAGTGATGAACCATCTGTTAAAAACAAAAAACAAAAAAATCCAGTTTTTTTGTTTGGTTGATCTTTTGTATTTTTTTAATCTCAATTTTAATAATTTTTGCTCTGATCTTTCTTTTCTTCTAATTTTGAGTTTGGTTTGCTATTGCTTTCTCTTTAAAAGTTATTTTAGTTATTATTTTTGATGGGTTTTTCTTTTAGTCTACTAAAATATGCATGATTTATATACAACAATTACAGTGTTAGAGTATTCTGTATTTTTTATGTACTTATTATCACTAGTGAATTTTATTCTGTCAGATGATTTCTTGTTGCTCATAAACATTCTTCCAGATTGAAGACCTCTCTTTAGCATTTTTTGTAAGGCACATCTAGTGCTACAAAATCCATCAGCTTTTGTTTGTCTGGGGAAGTCTTTATCTCTCCTTCATGTTTGAAGGATAATTTTGCTGGATATAATATTCTAGGTTGGAACAGTTTTTTCCTTCAGCATTTTGAATGGGTCATTCCATTTCCTCCTGGCCTATGAGGTGTCCAGTAGGAATTCTGCTGTCAGAAATGTCAGAGCTCCTTTATATGTTATTTGTATATTTTCTCTTGCTGCTTTTAGGATCCTTTCTTTATCCTTCTCCTTTGAGTTTGATAATTATATACCTTGAGGTAGTTGTATTTGGGTTAAATCTTCTTGGTGTTCTGTGATCTTTTCATACTTGGATATTCATACTGTAGGTTTGAAGAGTTCTCTGTAACTAAACTTTCTATTGCACTGTCTGTCTTTACATCCTCTTTAAGGCCAATAATTCTTAGATTTGCCCTTTTGAGGTTATTTTCCAGATCTCGTAGCCATGCTTTATTCTTTTTTATTCTTTCTTATTTTTCCCCCGACTGTGTATTTCCATATAGCCTGTTGTTGAGCTCATCAGTTTTTCCTTCTGCTTGATCAGTTCTGCTGTTGAGATTCTTTGATGATTTTTCAGTTTGTCATTTGAATTTTTCAGTTCCAGAATTTCTACTTGATTTTTAAAATTTTAATCTCTTAGTTAAATTTCTCTGATAGAATTCTGAATTCCTTCTCTTGTTTTCTTGATGTTCATTGAGTTTCCTCCAGACAGCTATTTTGAATTTCCTATCTGAAAGGAATACCTTCATCACTCCAAGATTGGTCACTAGTGCCTTATTTAGTCCATTTGGTGAAGTCATGTTTCCTTGTGTGTCCCTGATGCTTTCGGATGTTCATTGATGTCTGGGCATTGAAGAGTTAGGTATTTATTCCAGTCTTTGCAGTCTAGTCTTGTTTGTACCCAACTTTCTTGACAAGGCTTTCCATGAATTCAAAGGGGATTGAGTATTGTGATCTAAGCCTGCAATTACTGCAGCCATTTCAGCACTAGGGGGCGCCCTAAGCTCCGGAGCGCCTCAACTCTTTTTTTTTTTTTTGATTTTGTGTTTATTGTTTTTTATTAACCATTCACAGAAAAACATGCACCTAATATGCAACTTGAAAGTCCAGTTCACAACTCATGATTCAAAAAGCAGAAATTTCAAACCATTGTTTTCAGAAGTCCATAATATAAAATACTCCAAACATAAATTCAACATTGCATGCAGCAACTGGCCATTTGCTTCAAAAGAAGTGATCACAGTGTGTATATATTTAAAAAGAGAAACCTTTATTTGTATTATTTTTTAAAAAACTAAGAAGAAATACAACTTCAGAAAATCTTTTCCAGAATAAATATTTCTAGAAAATTGAAAAGTAACTAAAGACATTGAAAAGCAGAGCTTTATTAAGAAACATCTGTGGTGCAGATACGAATATTTAACTTAAAGCTGTGATGTGTACCTAAACTTCAATGCATAAAATGTAAAGTTTAACATATCAAAACTCCAGGATTTTTAGCTTTGGATCATCTTAAAACTATAAGATAGCTCTTATCACATTTAAAGCAGTGTGTAGAGGGAAATTTATAGCACTAAATGCCCACAAGAGAAAGCAGGAAAGATCTAAAATTGACACCCTAACATCACAATTAAAAGAACTAGAGAAGCAAGAGCAAACACATTCAAAAGCTAGCAGAAGGCAAGAAATAACTAAGACCAGAGCAGAACTGAAGGAGATAGACACACAAAAAAACCCTTCAAAAAAATCAATGAATCCAGGAGCTGGTTTTTTGAAAAGATCAACAAAATTGATAGACCGCTAGCAAGACTAATAAAGGAGAAAAGAGAGAAGAATCAAATAGACACAATAAAAAATGATAAAGGGGATATCACCACTGATCCCACAGAAATACAGACTACCATCAGAGAGTACTATAAATTTCCCTCTACACACTGCTGTAAATGTGTCCCAGAGATTCTGGTATGTTGTGTCTTTGTTCTCATTGGTTTCAAAGAACATCTTTATTTCTGCCTTCATTTCGTTATGTACCCAGTAGTCATTCAGAAGCAGGTTGTTCAGTTTCCATGTAGTTGAGCGGTTTTGAGTGAGTTTCTTAATCCTGAGTTCTAGTTTGATTGCACTGTGGTCTGAGAGTTTGTTGTAATTTCTGTTCTTTTACATTTGCTGAGGAGTGCTTTACTTCCAACTATGTGGTCAATTTTGGAATAAGTGTGATGTGGTGCTGAGAAGAATGTATATTCTGTTGATTTTGGGTGGAGAGTTCTGTTGATGTCTATTAGGTCTGCTTGGTGCAGAGCTGAATTCAATTCCTGGATATCCTTGTTAACTTTCTGTCTCATTGATATGTCTAATGTTGACAGTGGGGTGTTAAAGTCTCCCATTATTATTGTGTGGGAGTCTAAGTCTCTTTGTAGGTCTCTAAGGACTTGCTTTATGAATCTGGGTGCTCCTGTATTGGGTGCATATATATTTAGGACAGTTAACTCTTCTTGTTGAATTGATCCCTTCAACATTATGTAATGGCCTTCTTTGTCTCTTTTGATCTTTGTTGGTTTAAAGTCTGTTTTATCAGAGACTAGGATTGCAACCCCTGCCTTTTTTTGTTTTCCATTTGCTTGGTAGATCTTCCTGCGTCCCTTTATTTTGAGCCCATGTGTGTCTCTGCACATGAGATGGGTCTCCTGAATACAGCACACTGATGGGTCTTGATTCTTTATCCAATTTGCCAGTCTGTGTCTTTTAATTTGAGTATTTAGCCCATTTACATTTAAGGTTAATATTGTTATGTGTGAATTTGATCCTGTCATTATGATGTTAGCTAGTTATTTTGCTCGTTAGTTGATGCAGTTTCTTCCTAGCATCGATGGTCTTTACAATTTGGCATGTTTTTGCAGTGGCTGGTACCGGTTGTTCTTTTCCATGTTTAGTGCTTCTTTCAGGAGCTCTTTTAGGGCAGGCTTGGTGGTGACAAAATCTCTCTGCATTTGCTTGTCTGTAAAGGATTTTATTTCTCCTTCACTTATGAAGCTTAGTTTGGCTGGATATGAAATTCTGGGTTGAAAATTCTTTTCTTTAAGAATGTTGAATATTGGCCCCCACTCTCTTCTGGCGTGTAGAGTTTCTGCTGAGAGATCAGCTGTTAGTCTGATGGGCTTCCCTTTGAGGGTAACCCGACCTTTCTCTCTGGCTGCCCTTAACATTTTTTCCTTCATTTCAACTTTGGTGAATCTGACAATTATGTGTCTTGGAGTTGTTCTTCTCGAGGAGTATCTTTGTGGCATTCTCTGTATTTCCTGAATTTGAACGTTGGCCTGCCTTGCTAGGTTGGGGAAGTTCTCCTGGATAATATCCTGCAGAGTGTTTTCCAACTTGGTTCCATTCTCCCCATCACTTTCAGGTACACCAATCAGACGTAGATTTGGTCTTTTGACATAGTTCCATATTTCTTGGAGGCTTTGTTAGTTTCTTTTTACTCTTTTTTCTCTAAACTTCTCTTCTCGCTTCTTTTCATTTATTTGATCTTCAGTCACTGATACCCTTTCTTCCAGTTGATCTAATCGGCTACTGAAGCTTGTGCATGCATCACGTAGTTCTTGTGCCATGGTTTTCAGCTCCTTCAGGTCATTTAAGGACTTCTCTACACTGGTTATTCTAGTTAGCCATTTGTCTAATCTTTTTTCAAGGTTTTTAGCTTCTTTGCGATGAGTTCCAACTTCCTCCTTTAGCTCAGAGAAGTTTGATCATCTGAAGCCTTCTTCTCCCAACTCGTCAAAGTCATTCTCCATCCAGCTTTGTTGCGTTTCTGGCAAGGAGCTGTGCTCCTTTGGAGTGGGAGAGGCCCTCTGGTTTTTAGAATTTTCAGCTTTTCTGCTTTGTTTTATCCCCATCTTTCTGGTTTTATCTACCTTTGGTCTTTGATGATGGTGACGTACAGATGGGGTTTTGGTGTGGATGTCCTTTCTGTTTGTTAGTTTTCCTTCTAACAGTGAGGACCCTCAGCTGCAGGTCTGTTGGAGTTTGCTGGAAGTCCACTCCAGACCCTGTTTGCCAGGGTATCAGCAGCAGAGGCTGCAGAACAGCAAATGTTGCTGCCTGATCGTTCCTCTGGAAGCTTTGTCTGAGAGGAGTACCCGGCTGTGTGAGGTGTCAGTCTGCCCCTACTGGAGGGTGCCTCCCAGTTAGGCTACTCGGGGGTCAGGGACCCACTTGAGGAGGCAGTCTGTCTGTTCTCAGATCTGAAACTCCATGCTGGGAGAACCACTGCTCTCTTCAAAGCTGTCAGACAGGGACATTTAAGTCTGCAAAGGTTTCTGCTGCCTTTTGTTTGGCTATGCCCTGCCCCCAGAGGTGGAGTCTACAGAGGCAGGCAGGCCTCCTTGAGCTGGGGTGGGCTCCACTCAGTTCGAGCTTCCTGGCTGCTTTGTTTACCTACTCAAGCCTCAGCAATGGCAGGCGCCCATCCCCGAGCCTCGCTGCCGCCTTGCAGTTTGATCTCAGACTGCTGTGCTAGCAGTGAGCGAGGCTCTGTGGGCGTGGGAGCCTCCAAGCCAGGAGCAGGATATTATCTCTTGGTGTGCCGTTTGCTAAGACCGTTGGAAAAGTGCAGTATTAGGGTGGGAGTGACCCAATTTTCCAGGTGCCATCTGTCACAGCTTCCCTTGGCTAGGAAAGGGAATTCCCCGACCCCTTGCACTTCCCTGGGTAAGGTGATGCCTCGTCCTGCTTCGGCTCATGCTCGGTGGGCTGCACCCACTGTCCTGCACCCACTGTCTGACAAGCCCCAGTGAGATGATCCCGGTACCTCAGTTGGAAATGTCTCTGCATTTTCTGCGTCGCTCACGCTGGGAGCTATAGACTGGAGCTGTTCCTATTCGGCCATCTTGGAACTGCCCTCACTGCAACTCTTGCAGACCCCTAAATACACTGCCTTGGTGAACTTGGATAAGATAAGGAAGATTCCCTAGGTTAGCAGGCAAAGTCACTTGCTCTCTTTTCTCTCTTTTCCCCAGTCAGAAGGAACCTCTCTCTGTACTAGGCTGCCTGGAGTTGAGGGAGAGGTGACACAGACTTTCCTGTGATCACCACAGCTGACACTACAGAGTCTCACCTGAAGGCTTGCAGACCAGCACAGTACTGGAGTTCACCAGTACTGGTAGCCACTACCGCCTAGCTGCTGCTGATGTTTATTCAAGGACCATGACCACTTTAGTCAGCAGGTGGTGAATCCTGCTGGGACTGAGTCTCTTCCATCAGGACAGTGCATTTTCTTCTGGCCCAGAATGGGTCTAGAAACACCATCTAGGAGCAAAGACTTGGAATTGGGGGCTTCGGGAATCTGCTAAGCTGGTGCCCAAGTTGCAAGACAAAGTCCTCTGTGCTCTTCCCACTCCATCCTCCACATAGAAGATGTCTCCCCAAGAGCTGCACTGCCTGGAACTGGGGAGGGGTGATACAGGCACTCCCTTAGCTGCCACAGTTGGTTTTGCCCTGGGTTGCATTCCAAGTCCACTGCCTCTGAGACTAGTGCAGCACCAGCGTTTGCCTGAGGACTGCAGTCCTTGTGGCCTGACTGCCACTCAAATTTATTCTGTGATCCAGGCCACTTTAGTCAGCTGGTGGGGAAGCCCCACTGGCCTGAAACTGGGTTCTTCTCGCTGGAGTTGGGGATTCCCCTGTGGCCCACTGGTAGTCTGAATGCTCCCTCCATAGGCATTGACGGAATTCCTACCTGTGTTGTGTTCTGCTATGACAGAGCAGCACTGAGCTCCATTGTAAAGTCCCCCACTAACTTCACTCTCTCCTCCATGCACATAGACTCTGTCTCCTCAATGCACTGCCTGGGATTGCTGTAGTCAATGCAAGACTGTCTCTCCTACATTCTTGAATGCCTCTTTCCTTGATAAAAAGTACCTGGTTTGAACATAGGTACTTTTATCACTCACCTGATCTTTTTGTTCTTATGAAGATGCTTTCTTGCATGGATGGTTGTTCAATTTAGTGTTCCTGATGGGGGATTATTGCTCAGGGTTCTATCTGGCCATCTTGCTCTGTCTCCTACTTCCTGGTTATTTTTAAAAACTTCTGTTTTCTTTTCAAAGAGAAAATTAGTAAAATAGAAAATAGTGCTGAAGAGATCACCCTAATACTAAAAATATGAGAGAGTTTAGGTTTATGAAGCATTCAATGAGAAGGTCCAACATACCTCTGAGTTCCAGAAGGAAAACCAAGAGGATAGGAAACAGAACAATTAATGAAGATATAATAGTTGATAATTTTTGAGAGCTGATAAAATATATAGATCTTCAAATTCTAGAAGCTTAAGGCACAGTCAAAATTTTAAAAAAAATTCTACACGTAGATTAATGGGATTGGAAATACAGGACACCATAAACAAGGAGAAGGTTTTTAAAGCAGTCAGAGAGAAAAAGAAAGCTGAATTATCTACAAAGAAAAAGGAATTAGCTAAGAGCAGACTGAACAGTAAAAATAAGGTCAGAATTTGGTAGAATTAAATAAATTCTTAAAACTACTTAATTTCACTAAGAAATAAAATCTTAAAACTGCTGTGAGGATACATCATAATTATTTTAAGGAAAAAGAGAAAATATTATCACTATAACAACCTAGAATAACATTGTCTAATAGAAATATCATAAACATCATATATAATTTAATGTTCTCTATGACCTGCATTAGAAGGATGAAAAGAGATAGATGAAATTGATTTCTGTATTTTATTTAATCCAATATACTAAAAATATCATTTTCATATGTAACCAGTATGAAAAAGTGTTAATAATATGTTGTACACTTTATTTGTACTAAGTCATCAAAATCTAACACTCATAACATATGCCAATTCAGACTCTAAATTTTATCAAAAATATTTATATTTCATAAAAAATACAGATGAAAAAGTAATTTACATACCTAAGTTGTTACAAGCATACTTAGAAGTTTTCCAATATCTGATTAAGTATTCATCTGAAATTAAATTTTAAATAAATTAAAAACTCAATTCCTCAGTTTCTGAAGCCACATTTCAAATTTTTAAAAGTGACCAGGTGTAGTGGCTCACACCTGTAATCCCAGCACTTTGGGAGGCCAAGGTGGACGGATCACTTGATGTCAGGAGTTCAAGACCAGCCTGGCCAACATGGTGAAACCCCGTCTCTACTAAAAATACAAAAATTAGCTGGGCATGGTGGTGCACGCCTGTAGTCCCAGCTACTCAGGAGGCTGAAGCAGGAGAATTACTTGAACCTGGGAGGCAGAGGTTGCGGTGAGCCGAGATGGTGACACCGCACTCCAGCCTGGGTGACAGAGTAAGACTCAAAGTCTCAAACTACAACCACAACAACAACAGAAAAAAAAAAAAGAAAAAAACTTAAAAGCCACACGTGCCTGATAGCCACTGCATTGGAATGTACAGATAGAATTTGATGTCTTTCTAAACTTTGGTTCAAGATTAAGGTCAAAACAAAACATTTTCATATGAAAACTGTGAGTACTTATGTATTTCAAGAAGAAGGAAATATAACCCAGAAGGAAGTAAAAGGTTCAAGAAGGAACAATAAGCAAAATAATCAGTCAACTTGATGATCAATCTAAGCAATCAATGGCTGTATAAAACATCAACAGCAATCATCTCAAATTTAAAATTATAAGTAAAACAGTAGTATGTGAGACTGATGTCGGTGATAGGAGTTAAAGCAGTCTAAGGGTCGATCTGTTTATGAGAATAGCAATAATTTGCCTTAGAGTTTGCATAGTTCAAATATCCTTAAAGTTTTTAGCAATAATCACAAAATAAAAAAGAAAGTGTAAAACTTCCCATCTGGTAGAAACAAAGGAGAATAAGTAACACGATTAAAGCATAAGAAGAGAGCCAAAGCATGAACTTCAAATTGAATTCCTGAGGTTTTTTTTTAAAAAAAAGACTTTATAGGAAATATAGAAAGTTTTTATGGATTAAAAGTTTTAAAGTAAATCTTTGTACAGGGTATGCAGCTTTTAAAAGATCAAATTCTAACTAGTGCCTTAATTATTATATTCCTTTTTATCTATAGCCATAATTTTGTTGATTAAGAGGGTGTATTAGTTGTCTTTGACATGCTACATCTTGCCCTGCATTCGTAACTCCAGAATTAACATGTCCTTAAGTTAAATGTGTTTGAACTGTGTGAAATTACGCATTTGTTCCCTGGAAACAAACTATAAAATACAAAATTAAATTTAATATATAACATGCTTAATATGAATAATGTAGGTTATTTGATAAGTATATGACACACTTGTAGCAAACTACCCCTTCCCCACAAACACAGTCAATACACTGTGTTTTAATTTAAAACTATTTTGACTTCAGATGTTCTAAACAGCCAGTTTTATATATTTAAATAGCCATGCAGTTAGATAGGAGAGTTGCTACAGTTCATCTTCTCTAGTCCTATCCTTGGTGATAAATGTTACTTTTACTCACTATATTTATTGTTTAAATTTTTATACTTAACAGAGACTTTATTATTGTTGAGGTATAACATATATTGCAAACAGCATTATTCTTAATTGTACAGCCTGATTAATTTTATGAATGTATGCACTCATACAATTACCACCCAGATTCAGAGCATTTCAGCACCTAGAAGTCTCCCTCATGTTCCCTCCTAGTCAATTCTTGTTTACCAAGGGTAATCACTGCTATGACATATCACACAGATAATATTTGCCTGGTTTTGGACATCATAAAAATAGAATCATACAATGTAAACTCTTGGGTGTCTGACTTCTTTTACTCAACATTCTGTGAGACATTCAGATTTTGTGACTAAGGCTTTTACAGAAAACATTTTACAAGTATTTCTCAATATCTTTTCTCCAATATAGAAATTAAAAAAGAGCTTTACACCTTGTATCATTTAGTAACAAGTTAAAATTTTACTTTCTTGGGGTGATGTGTGTCAGTCATAGTTAGCATTTTTATAAGAAATGTATACTATTTTAAAAAAATTGAATAGTTTACCATTCAAATAATCTTCCTTCCTCCTTTTCTTTTTGAGAAGGAAAATGTCTTTACAAGGTAAGTGGCAAGGCAGAGAGGGGTGAGGGAGTTATGTCAATAGCAGCAGAGAATGGCATTAGTGATCAGAAAAATATTTTTCATGAGTTCCTACAGATCATGTTTACATGGAACCATGTCATCACAAGTCAAAGCCAGTTCCGCTCTGCAAAGATATATGTATTTTCCTCTGGAAGCTAAAAATATACACTATTCCTCATTGACCTTTTCATCCAATTCTCCAAAAATGAAATCAATGCCAGTCATCATCTTTGATATTATAGGTGTTTCTGTCTTTGTGTAAATTTCAGGCCCTTGAAAGTAAAATGAAATCACTGAGTTTATTCTTTAAATTTTGTGTCTGCTCCTCTTACACCCCCAACCCCAAGATTTATGCAGATTGCAGAGATGGAAGAAAAAAGATCTCTTTTAACTTGAAACTTTGTCTGCACTTGCAAAAATAAAAAAAAATTTAAAACCTGCTGCTTTATAAAAGTCCTTTACTGTAAAACTTTTTTTTACTGGTAATTATCTCTGTTGTAGTTTATTTTGTCTGGCAAAATGTAATGTGGCAGCTGTAAAATCTACAGAGGCTTAATGAAATTGCTAGGTGGCAACAGAAATGCTAGCATTTTAAAAGGCTTAGCACATCATTCCAAAATTGCTTTGACAAAATTGTTAAGCTAACAATAAGATCAAGTTTTTAAATAGAATTTACCATTCATGGTTAACATTTTTATAGCTGCTTTAATAGGGTGGTCAAATAAGATATGATTGTTATATTTTTATTTCTTATTTATTTCTTATTTATTTATTTGAGACGGAGTCTCACTCTGTCACCAGGCTGGAGTGTGGTGGTGCAATCTCGGCTCACTGTAACCCCCGCCTCCCAAGTTCAAGTGATTCTCCTGCCTCAGCCTCCCAAATACCTGGAACTATAAGCACGCACCACCACGCCCAGCTAATTTTTATAATTTTAGTAGAGATGGGATTTTGCCATGCTGGCCAGGATGGTCTCCATCTCTTGACCTCATGATCCACCTGCCTCGGCCTCCCAAAGTGCTGGGATTACAGGCATGAGCCACCGTGCCCAGCTGTTATATTTTTAAAAAGAAACCACTTTTAAGCAAACTGTCGTTTAGAAGTCTGCAGCTAAAATATTACACATACATAGAGTAGTTTTGCTCTCAAAGTTTGGATACTCTTCAGGAAAATAAAAAATTGATATTAATTCCATGACCTTGAGGTACTGGTTATATGCCTAATAATGCATTTGTATATCAGACAGGGTGAGAGATTAAAGGTGCTCACCTCATACGTTATGGATATTGGTTTATAGAACGTGTTGGATAACAGGCACTTACTACAGCTACTTGGAAGCAGAAGCAGGAGGATTGCTTGAGCCCAGAAGTTTGAGGATGCAGCCAGCTATGATTGCACCACTGCTCTCCAGCCTGGGTGACAGAGTGAGACCCCAACTCTTAAAAATAAATGAGTAAATATAGAAAGTGTTACAGAAGAAACAAAATGCTTAGGAAGTTCATTTGTAGTTTGCTTTACTTTGGGAATGAGATAGAAAAAGCCAAATGAAATTAATGTTTAATTAAGTGGTGTAGGGGAAAAGAAGTATCTCTTTCTTACCCATTGCTAGGTTCATGGCTGAGGCCCCTATAATAAAAGACAGATTAACAAGAGAAAAGCATACAAATTTATGGTATATAAGTTTTGTATAACACAAGAGCCTTTGGAATTGAAAACCCGAAGGTACAATTAAACCCATGGGGGGGTTTGCACTGTTTGATGGAGAAGTGGATGAAGTTGAGAGTATAATTGGATAACAAAGTGTGATCTAATGGTAATAAACTGGGGGAAACTTAGCAAGGCCTTTTTGATCAGATTCTTCTTTGCGTCCCTGTGTCTTCAGAGATGAGGATGTTTCTTTCCTCCAGCTATACAAAGGGCACCTCTTGAATGAAGGTCTTATGACCTATTTCAGAGGAAAAGGGTGGGAGAAGGTCAGAGAGTGACCTTCCTGCTTCCGTGGTTTTCTCAAATACCAAGGTGCCATAATTATGGGGCAGCATGTTCTGAACCCCATCAGTGGATAAGGCAATTTATTTCTAAATGTCAGTGGCAGTCTCAAATTGGTGCTCTTTAATCAGCTTCCATATTATAAATAGAGAAGAGCTATTTAGGTCTCATTTGTAGTTGGAAATTACTGATAGTTATTCTGCCTTTCTAATAAAATAATGTAATTATAATTTGGATAAAATAGTTACTTGTAACACTTTTTGGCTAGCTGTATCTCCTGTAAAATGCCTTACTTACAGCTTTGTAAGCTGTAAAACAAACAAAAAGCATCAGGAAAGGATATAAAGTCATACATACCTCATTTTATGTACTTAATACCAGTTAATTGACATATAATTGGAGCAAGTACAAGATCAAGAAGCAACTTAATTAGTGATACCATTTTAATGTCCCTAATGAGAGCAGTGGTTTTCATTTGTGTGTAGGATAGGTTGGTACACATATTGGAATCTCCAGGAAACTTTTTAAAAATACTGTGTAGATTCCTGTACTCTGTCTCCAGAATTCACACCAAAGTCCTCAGTGGATCAGGAAACAGAAAGCCTGCGTAATTTCTTAATTACCTTAAACTCCCAAAGTCAGACATTGTAAATAAGTTTGTTTCAGTATTCAAATAAGCCAAGCTGACTCTTATCTTAAATCATACTTGAAAATGTAACTAAAAGAGATTAGAGAATAAAGATCAAGAGTATTTTCTGGGTGAATAATTTATACAGTTTCTGGTATCTGAAAGTTGAAAGAAAACTTTGCTTTTCTTGATAGTGGAACTTCAAAATTTTTGTGTGTGTGTGGTCAGCAAAGTCTAAATTAGTAAGTTATTCTCAAGCAGGGCAGAAAGGCAACTTTAAAAGGTTGTGGACCTGTGGTATAGATTTTAAATGGGAAACAAATTCTTTTTCTTGCAAATATTTCAATTAGATAATTCTAATGGCATTGTACCTGATCTTTAGAGAAATTATAGTTTGTATCCTTAAACCACTTTTATTGTAGAAGAAATATGTGAAAACAGAGTTACAAAAACTTTTTTTCAGTATTTTGGCATGTAATTTTGGGAGATACAGTTTTTATTGATGGTAAGCATAAAGCAGTTGGTGGAAAAGGTGGAAGTGAAAGGCAAATCAAAGAGGAAGAACATAGTATTTCAAAGGAATAAAGTGAGCAGCTCCTCAGCACATTATTAGGAAGGAGGAATGAAAGGAACTGCTACTATTTCTTTCATGCTACTTGAATCAGGTGGCCAAGAAATCAAGAGACCTGCTTCCCTCTATCCACGTTGTCCCATCACTTAAGCCTTGTTACTTTTAATAATAACCAATTTGGTTTTACTAATATAGTGGCCAAGAAATCAAGAGACCTGCTTCCCTCTATCCACGTTGTCCCATCACTTAAGCCTTGTTACTTTTAATAATAACCAATTTGGTTTTACTAATATAGATTGTCTGTATATCACTTGTTTCATTAGTGTTTTGTTGCCAAGTAGCATAGTTCTGGAAGTACATAACAAAACACAACTACTGGAAGCCTAATTGATCAGTAGCCATACCAGCATTCCAGTGGTTGTGGTTTGAGCAAGCAGCTTGCATGTGTTTAGTCATTTTAAAAAGAGAGAAAATGTGTGTGTTTGTGTGGCTAATGTCATCATTAAGAAATAAAAATATCTTTTATCTCCTATTCATAAAACAGACCAATTTGGAGTAACATGTTTGCATGATTTCATGTTATTAGAATATTGCAACTTGTATTACAAATAAAAATTTCTAAAACTATATGCTGATACTGTACTGATCATGTGCATTCAAATAAATGTCTTCATTTAATAAGTCATGTTTTACCTAAAGTTAATGACTATGTATAGTAAAACACCAATTTGACAAATGTAGTTACTCAATAAGTACTAATTGGTTTGATCGTCAAATCTTAAAGCAATTGTTCTAAGTTGAGGATCTGTGCTAACTAGGAATATCATGTAATAAGTAATAAATAGACTACTTACAAAAAGGATATTCCCCAAGAAATTAATTAAAGAACAAATTGATATTTTAGGATACTTTGTACCTTAAATCATTTGTATTTCTAATATTTTTTTCTACGTAAAAGATGCCAAAAAATTTCCCAAAGATCTAGAATAGAACGGTTTGAGAATTAGATCTATTATTCTGGAACTACAGTACTTGTCATGGATGATATGCTCTTTGTCTTCTGTGGGGGGAAAATGCTAAGTAGGTGATTGAGGAAAAATTCAAGGAGTGACTTTTCTTAGACATGTAGTCTACATCTGGTATCTCTGAGAAAAGGTTTATTAGATAATAATAGTCACCACTTTTATATGGCACTTACTGCTGTATGCCAGGAACCGTTCTAAGTCTTTAGTTTTGGTTTTTGTTTTTTTCTTTAATCCTCACAGCAGCCTTACCTATGATGTAACAATGATTTTTATAAATAAGGAAATGCAGGCACAGAGGGGCTAAATAACTCACTGAAGATCACTGTATAAACCATAAATATCAAACTTGGGATTTGAACCCAGGGATTCTGGCTTACACTATACTGTCTCTCAGTAAAATGAGACTACATACTAAATTACTGAAGTCAGCTACTATAAAAAGAATGAAATGAAGCTGACAAGTTTCTCTGATATTGAAGCAGCGTCATTGTCTGGGGTAAATACCCGAGGTTCGTAGACTTGCATTAAGGACAGGGACACACATAAGGAGTGAGTTTAGGAACAGAGGTTTTAATAGGCAAAGGAAAGAGAAAGAACAGCTCTCTCTTCTCTCTCTTCTCTCTCTTCTCTCTCTCTCTTTAGAAGAGCAGCTTAAAAAGGTTGTGGACCTGTGGTATAGACTTAAAATGGGAAACTAATTTTTGCAAATATTTCAATTAATTATAATGGCATTGTACCTGATCTTTAGGGAAATTATAATTTGTATCCTTAAACCACTTTTATTCTAGGAGAAATATGTGAAAACAGGGTTACAAAAACATTTTCTTTTTTTCTAGAGAGAGAGAAGAAAAAGAGACTCCCGAATTGGAATTTCAGCCCAGAATGGGAGTGTACCAAATTTTGTAGGCAGGCTTGAGGAGGCGATATCTGATTTACATAGGACCCACAGATTGGCTGGACCAGGTGTGATGTTTACATAGCACGTGGTAAAGGGTGGCCACCCCGCCCTAATCTTATTATGCAAATGGACTTTCCACTTGGCTGGCACCATGTTGTCTGCTACTTGCTGTACAGGTGGCTGGCAAAGAGAAGGGAAGATGGAGCCGCCATTTTGAACATGCCTAGTCCCAGGTAACCTTTTCCTATTGGCACAGCTGCCAGTATTCACCTATGCAAGCTTCCAGCTTGCTTGTCCGTCTGCAGCTCAATTGTACGGGCTACTCTCTGTTAGAAAAGAAAATGATTTTGGTACTGCTTTTCATTAAAGGAATACCTTACTGAGGACTTCCTTACTCTCACTATCTGCCTAAATAATTCTTTTTAAACTCCTATATCAGTATCTTTCCAAATCTTCTAGGTGAGTTTAGGGATTTGGATGATTAGCAAGATCTGACCAACTACCACCAGAATATAAATTCTTGAGAACCAAAAGTTCATAGGAGTTTAGTAAATGATGTTGCATGATTATCTATACCAAGAAAACTTAAATGTAAAATGTCTTTAAAGAGACTATGATTATCAATTTACATTATTGTAGATATCAATTTCAATCATTTACACAATTTTATTTTCAATAAGGGATTGCTGTTTTATCCTTTATGGTATCAGAGAAACAAGTTTTTTTTTTAAGTAGTAACAAAACTTTTGAGGAATTAATACAGCTTTATTTTGTAATCAACTTCTAGCATATACTACAATTTCCAGTGAACCTTAAATAATTTATGACAAAACTATCAAGAAAATGTTAAAATGTAGGGGAACTATTCTGAACCATTTATTTTCTATTTGTGCATTGTTATACCAGATTATTGATTTAACAATGTATGTATTGTTATGAACATATGGACTGAATTTTTTAGGGAATTCCATATTATAGAGGGACTTTGTCAAATCCTTCAGAGTTTGGAACAGCGGCCTCTGCATACATTTTTGCCAGACACCCTAATAGAACGTATAAAATAGGAAGACTACAATTTCTTGTGCCTGAATATGCAAAGGGATTTTTCAGATCAAAATCATGTCATTGTTGTTCTAAGTCTCAAAATGGTTTCCTGATACTTTTGATTAGTGTTTCCTTACCATGTTTGTTGCCTAGTTAAGATTATTTCCCTAATTTTTAATAGTATGTGTGGAAGATGAAAAATAAGGGGACAATCTAAAGGAAATGGCAAGAACCCTCAGGGAAAAAAATGGATGAACATAAAATGATCTTAGTTTAAAAGAACATTGGAAAGAAGCTCTAAGGTGTTTGCATATCAAATTTCTGCTTATCCTTAACCTTGCCTCTAGCTGCTTGAAATTATGTTTAGCAACTTTTCTGTGGAATGTTGGTAAAATCTATAAATATAATCATTAGACTACTGGAATCAATTCATATCAGATTTACTCTTTCATAATAGCATTCTTGAATGCAGTCAACACACAATTAAAACACAGTACACGGAATTATAAGCTTCTAGAATCTCATTTTTAAATATTCTTTTGTTAGCATTTTTTTGAAGGATTTTAAATACATTTGCTTTAAATTTCTTCCTTTTAGTTAGACAAGATGAGTGAATTAAAGACTGATTCTAGCCACAACTCTAAATTCCCTCACTTGCAGGTTTGCATAACCCTTTAAAATTATTTTAAAATATTTTCTGTGGTTTGACTATGTTTTCTCAAGAATCCAGTACGTAAATGTCATGTGTGTGTTTACGGAATTTGACAGCAATGTAGTTTGTTGTCACGGTTTCTTTAACTTTATTACAAGCCATTTAAAAAATCACATTTGAAAATATTTGTGTAATTTCTCATTTTTGTTTTCTTTCTTTTCTTTTTTTCTTGAGACAGAGTCTCACTCTGTCACCCAGGCTGGAGTGCAGTGGTGTGATCTTGGCTTACTGCAACCTCTGCCTCCCAGGTTCAAGTGATTCTCCTGCCTCAGCCTCCCGAGTACCTGGGATTACAGGTACCCACCACCACGCCCAGCTAATTTTTTTTTTTTTTTTTTTTTTTTAGTAGAGACGGGGTTTCTCTATGTTGGCCAGGCTGGTCTTGAACCCCTGACCTCAGGTGATCTGCCCACCTCAGCCTCCCAAAGTGCTGGGATTACAGGCATGAGCCACTGCGCCCAGCCTGTCTGTATTTTTTTAACAAGCAAAAGTATGATCCTCCTTGGTAATTCTGTTTCTCACTGCTCTTCACCATTTCTCTGCCCAAAATTCTTGCTGTTCCTTGTACAAACTTAGTAACTTCCTGACCCACATGCCTTTGCTTTGGCCGTTTCTTCTTTTTTGAATCCTAACCTTAGCCATGGTCAAGTCTTACCTATTAAAGGGCCACATATAAAATAAGAAATTAATTCTTTATTGTAGTTGAAGTAATTTGGCTATCCTCCAAACTCTTTTTTTTCTTAGATACCTAATACTTTCTATCTTGTATTTATGTATGTATTATCTCCCCAATAATACTTTAGACTCTATTAGCAAATGACCTGTAATGTTGGGAAGAAGATGTATATATATATATATATATATATATATATATAGTGCTTAAAATAAAGATATACTTTAAATGTTCAATAAAAGCAAACAACATATTGTATAAAAGTTGAAATATATAGTTTCATCATTACACATTGTACATATGTACCAAAACATTACACTGTACGCTATAAATAAGTATGATTATATGTCCATTAAAAACAAAATACAACTTAATAAAAAAGGAGAGATACATATAGTTCTTAACAGAGTAATTATCAGTTTACTGACCTTGGTTGTCCTGGTAAGTGAATAAATCTCTACATTTTAGAGTGATAAGGAATTATGAATTGCTTTCACCTTCAGCAGTTCTGATTGGTGCTACCATGCTGAGGAGGGGAGAGGGTCAGTCTGTATCCAGGGATGAAAAGGAAGAATGTAGCAAGCCTTTTCTGGTCTGGGTGGATACCAGAATCCACAGTGACAGGACAGGGACAGGGCATAGCATTTAGGCTTCTAGGTGGCATTCAGGCCTCTGTGTTAGCTGTGATCCGCAATCATTTATAAATTTGAAATGGTAACAGTTACACTCAAAATCATAATTTTGCCTCCAAAAGAAAGACAATCTGGAATTAGCCATGACAGTTAGAATCCCAGCTTCCTAACTTAGATTCGGGACTTAGGTACTGGAGAACTGGACAGAAAGTCTAGTAAGTAGAATTAATTAAAATAGTGGGATGGAGATTGGCAGTAGTGAGCGAAAGAAGTGTTAGAGGGATGTTACAGCACCATACATGCATCAGTCCCCAAGAGAAGAGGAAGAATCTGGAAAAAAATAAAAAACCGAGAAGGCGCAGTCTTTGTGTTTGAGTACCCTAGGGCTCAGTCCTTGGTCTTCATTTCTTTTCTATCTTAATTCTTTTTTTTTTTTTTTTTGGTGACCTCATCAAGTCACATGGCTTTAAATACCATCTAGTAGGCCAGCAACTCCCAAAATATATCTGCAGTTGTGATCTTTATCCCACATTTCAGATCAAATTGCCTAATTGACATCCCCATTCAAATGTATAACAGATATCTTAAATGTAATAGGTTCCAAAGTTCTAATTCCTGCCACCACCTCCTAACCCCCACCTCAGCAGCCTGCACTATTTTAGACAATCTCTGTTGATGGCACTCTGTCCTTTTAATTACTCAGATCAAAACTTTGATGTCATCCAGAGTCCTCTTTTTCTGTCACTCCACATCCAGTCTGTCAGGAAATTCTGTTGTCACTACCTCTGAAATATCTTCAGTTACCAGCAGGTTCTCACCACCTCTATTGCCACCACTGTGCTTATTGGCCATCATCATCTCACACCAGATTATTAGTGCGTTGTCTTCCTAATTGGTCTCCTAGTGTTTGTTCCCCTTAGTTGATAATTTGACAGAAATTGATTTTAGATTGTTTTGTGATATCTGTGACATGAAATCTCATGGTTTTGAATGGTATCTTTTTGCAAGGGAAATATTGTTTTGCTTTGTCAGTTCTTTTCCAGCTAGATTGTGTGTTGTCTGTGTATGAAATAACTAAGAGGCGGCTTTTAACAGAAAACTTGTATAGTGACTGTAAAATACGACAACATATACCTAAGATTATGAGCTGTGATGATTCATTGAAATGATTCATTGAAATGTATTTGGCAATAACAATTGTGAGCCAAGTTTCAGAAGTCTGATGTATGATTGGTTAAGGCTTTGAGGACCATTGGTCTATAACACCACTTCAGTGCAACCTAAGATGTGCTGACTGATTAAAAGTTGCATTCAAACACATTTTTCTTCTTTGACACCATTATTAAAGACATGTCTCAGATTCATAAACATGCAGGTTTTTGACCTTCAAAGGAGGAATGACTTTTAGTAGTTTACTTTTTAATCATAAGTCATATTCTGATCATGTAGATGATAGGTAGAAGTTAAAAAGTCAGAATGATTCAGTCCTGATTTAAAAAAAATTCAGTTCTGGTTGTTTTCAGGAAAGTATAGATACTGTATGATAAACTTTTCCATGAACTTCTGTCAATGTCTTATCATTTGACAGAGTGATATCAGTATAATTTATTCAGATTGAATAATGGAATTTCAGTCATAGGCCTTTTGTGATTTTTCTATAGCTATTATCTTGAGTCTATAACCAAGTTCACCTAGCAGTTTTCTTAAAACCTGTATTAACTTACTTTTTATATGAGGGACAAAATAAAGTTTATTCTAATCAGTCTGTTTTGTTGAGCCTAATGTACAGCTTTACTTCTAGGTGGAGGCCTACTGGTGTCTAGGGAATGTATTTGTGTTAATACTCTTAGGTATGAGCTCTTAGGCATCTATACAGCCAAGCATTAAAACAAAAAGTTAAGGGACCTCATTGATCACATTTGGTAGTACAAAACAAGCTGCCTGAAATGCTAGTGAAATAATGAACAAATGTAAATAAGATAAAATCTAAATTCAAGCAAAATATATACTTCGACTCAAGACATTTCATTGTAGTTAGAAACCTTGTGAATGCCTAACAGGAATTTTCAAAGGAATTGATTTCTATCCATTTCAGAACACTATAGTCTAAATCGGAATCTTAACTTGGGATCTATAAATGGGTTATAAGTAGATCCATAAAACTTCAGAATTTATACAGAGCTTTATATTTATGGGCAATGTCCTTGAGAGAGAAACCACACCTTTCACCAATTTCTTAAAGGAATGCATAATTCAAAAAACATTAAAGAGCTACTAATCCTTATCCATATCTATATGTCACGTTGATAAAACATTTGAACCAAGTTTAATTCTTAAGAACAATGAAAGGGCTCTATTTCTAGTTTCTAGGATCTACCATCCAGATTTTGAAAGATTAAGCCAAATCAAGGCATTGTTGTTAATAATGCTACCTGTTGTATTTGTATGAAACCCAATCTTTTTGTAGCATGTTGATTTGGTATATGTTAACTACTTATTAACATCTATACAAATAGGCTGCATTATCCATTGAAGTGATTGCTGTTTCCTGTGATTATAATTTTAAGCAATTTTCTTCTTTTTTTTTATTTTTTATTTTGGTGCAATTACAAACCAGTAAGCCTAGCTGATCCTGCTGCCCTTGGCTTCATCATTTCTCCATGGTCTCTGCTGTTGCTGCCATCTGGTAGTGTGTCATTTACAGATGAAAATATTTCCAATCAGGATCTTCGAGCATTCACTGCACCAGAGGTTCTTCAAAATCAGTCACTAACTTCTCTCTCAGATGTTGAAAAGGTAACTGTTAAATTTTTTTGTTTGTTTTTTTATTTGGGTGGGGATAGGTCAAATAAAGACAATGGGCTACCATGTTTCAACCCTCTGAAAAATCTATTGAGTTTTAAATGACCGTGTATTCCAAGAAGTTCAGTTATTTTATTTAAGAATCCAAAATAGTTTTATAAAGATTTATGGATCTGAGAAATATATGAAAAAAATTAACCATTAGAAGCACATGTTTACAAATACTTATTAAATACCTGCTTTGTATAAAACACCGTGCCTGAGGAAGATATAGAAATAACTGGAAAGTTGACCCTGATTAACATGTACAGAACAATCTGTAACAGCAATCCTCATCCTTTTTGGCACCAGGGACTGGTTTCATGGAAGACAGTTTTTCCAAGGATGGGGTGGTGGGGGAATGGTTTTAGCAAGAAACTGTTCCACTCAGATCATCAGGCATTAGATTCTCATAAGAAGCATGCAGCCTCAGTCCCTCACATGTGCAGTTCATAATAGGATTCGCATTCCTATGAGAATCTAATGCCAACATTGATCTGACAGGAGGCAGAGCTCAGGTGGTAACGTTCACTTGCCTACTGCTCACTTCCTGCTGTGCAGCCTGCTTCCTAATAGGCCATGGGACTGGTATGGGGCTGGAGGTGGGGGTTGGGGACCCCGATCTCTAATATATGGCAGGATGAAATAAATGCTATGGAGAGTGATAGTATTTTGAGAATGTACAAGATGAGCAATTAATTTTTAGTGTAGAATGATATCACAGAGAAGAGGTAGCTATTTGTGTTAGGCTATGAAGAATGAATAGACTTCAGATAAATAAAAATAGGTAGAAAGGGCATTCTACTCAGAGTAATTGGTATGGGTAATGACAAGAGGTAAGAAATTGTCCACTGTGATTGGGGAATGGTTGGTTAGACTGGCTAGGCTAGAATATTACTACCTAGAGGGATGTGGTTAAAGGAAGGAAGAAAGGCTCCAGGTCAGAAGGAGGATGATTTTTGAATGCCAGAACTTGAGGCTTTCTTCTTAGGCAGTGGGGATCTATCATATTTTTAGGAGCATGACTGATGTAATTTGTGATTTTGGAGGTTAAATTTGACAAAAGTAGATAACTATGGGAGAAGGAAGATTTTGTGAGTCTCTAATTGGGGAGTTGTTGTTGTTTTGTTTTGTTTTGAGACGGAGTCTCGTTTCTTTGCCCAGGCTGGAGTGCAGTAGCATAATCTCGGCTTACTGCAACCTCTGCCTCCTGGGTTCAAGCAATTCTCCTGCCTCAGACTCCCAAGTAGCTGGATTACGGGCACATGCCAGCACACCTCGCTAATTTTTGTATTTTTAGTAGAGATGGGGTTTCACCATGCTGGCTAGGCTGGTCTTGAACTCCTGACCTCAAGTGATCCGCCTGCCTCGGCCTCCCAAAGTGCTGGGATTACAAGTGTGAGCCGCCGTGCCTGGCCAGGGAGTTTTAATACTCTGTGGAAAAGAACTGAAAATGGCATAATGATTTATTTGATGGCATAATGAAGAAGTGAAGGTTTAAAATAGAAGTATCCAGTATGACTATAGTGATATAACTGACTTCAGAATAAGACCTAATTTTATTGTCAAAGTTATGAAAAAATTTAGGCATATATATTGTGTTTTATAGCAGACATTAGGTAATTGTGTTATATAGCAGGCTGTGGGTAATTTAGCACTGTGGGGTACTCCAGAGAATTCAGAATTGGCTATGAACATTCTTTCCCATATGTCATTCCACATAAGTGTAAAAATTAACCTAGTAATTTCCTAATAGCAAAATTGTTAAATCAAAAATACATACATGTTAAACTTCAATATACATTGTCTAATTGCCATCTAAAGGAATTCTAATTTCTTTAAACTGACAATCATATTTTTCTTTTCAGAGATTGAATGTGTATGAGTGTGTGTGTGGTGACTAAGCTAAAGGAAGGCATCTTGATTTGAGCCATCAATTATGTATCTGAAAAAAGACTGACAAGAATTGGTAGAGTGAATTCAGATTTAAGATTATCTACCTTTGATATTCCATGAGCTACTTAAGAATTTTGAGAGGTACAAGCAACCATTGAAAGGAGATAGTAGTTATAAGGTAGGGGTAATGCTTAAGGCATTAGACTAAAAAATTTCCCATTACATAAGATGAAGTATTTGAAAAGAATTTTTTGTATGTTACGGAGTAGATATGGTCTTGGTCATTGTTATGTATCATGAAGGTATTCAAGTGTACCAGTAATGTTTTATTAAGCTGGATAGTATACATATATAGTTATTCATTTTTATTATTTAAACAGGATGCAGTCATTCTGTACATTGTACGATTCATTTAATAATATTTTTAAAAAGGGATTCGAACATTGGAAATAGGTATAGTATGTGTGCATAGGTATTATGAATTCTTTCTGTAAGCATTTAAAACCCACAATAAAATTTAAAAAGTGCTTAGTAGAAATTTGGGATGCACAAGTGCTTTTCTGATTTTCTGAGAGGTTTCCCAATTTGCCTTGTGATGTCTAGATCCCCACACAAGTTAACCCTATGTTTAGGAATAACTGTTAGACCACATATTTGGGAAAATGACTAAAGCCACTCTATTATTTTGCCAAGTGTTTAGAAGCAATGTTGGGGATGAAATGGGTGTGGGATTGTTGCCATTATCATGTTAAAGTTGATTTCTTAGTCTGTCTAATTGGAACTTCTAGCTTACCTCATGCCTCAAAATCTTAAGTGTAACTCTAAATACAAAGAAAATCAAGTTTCTTGATCCTATTCATAACATGAAGCAAAGGTCAGAAGAGTAGCCATATATTCTAGCACAGTATTCTGGTTTTAAAATGGCAAGGGCATTTTGAAAATGAGGAAAGTAGCTGCACTTAATTACTTTCATGAGTTAAGAATATGCTATTAACTAGCACTCAATAAATGCTTGCTGTTGATGACATATAAATTTTTTATAATGCTCAGTGACCAGCACTCTTGATACATGACAATGTTCTCTTCATTCAGAGGGACTTACACTTAAAAGTCTTTCATAAACTGTACATGTTTGTATGAAAAAACTCCCTTACTATCAACTATGTAAACAGGCATTTTCATTTATTTACCTTAAAACTTTACTTTTCAAGATAACATCCCTTTAAATGAGTAGACAGGTTTATACAGGCTACACTAAGCTTTTTATCCTCTGGCTTTTCTCTTTTATTGGGTAATTTTCTACTTCCTGCTTGCTTGGCAGAAGGTGTACTTATTTGACAATTCCTTTGAAATCGGTTTGATGGGATGGAATTTGAATCAAGTTCCTGTTGTGCTTTCTGTTCAAAAATATTGATGTGCACCAGAGATTTGTACTATGTCTCTGATAAATTAATCTTGATTATTGCCACTAATTTGTAGTCTAAATATCAAGAATTATTGCTCTCTGTGCTTTTTGAAAATCAAGGATCATCTTTAGAAAGACAATAATAGTAAATCTATTTACCCAAGCTTAGCAGAAGCCTCAACCGAACTTGACCAAAAAACAACGAAATGCCCTTAATCACACTATACCGTACATACTTTGTATTAAATCTTGTTAATCCATTCTCTGTCCCGTTTTCATTCATTCATAAATTTGACAAATGTTTGTTATATGCCAGGACCCTGTGCCACTGAAGAAGAAATTCTAGGATTGTCTAGTGACACAGTCCAATATGTAATCATATAATTAAATTGAAAATGTTAAATGTTGGGCTTGTAGGGATACTATCTCACATCCATTACAATGGCTACTATCAAAAGAACAGGATATAACAACTGTTGGCGAGGATGCAGAGAAATTGGAACCCTTGTGTGTTGTTGGTGAGAATGTAAAATTGTACAGTCACAATGGAAAGCAGTATAAAGGTTTCTTAAAAAATTAAAAATAGAATTACCATATGGTCCAGCAACTCCACTTCTGAGTATATATATCCAAAATAATTCACAGCAGGAACTCAAAGAGATATTTGCACACCCATGTTCATAGCAGTGTTATTCACAATAGCCAAAAGCTGGAAGCAGCCCAAATGTTCATTGGCAGATGAATGGATAAAAAAAACTGTGGAATATACATACAATGAATATCATACAGGCTTAAGTAAAAGGCAGGCTTGTCACATGCTACAATATGGATGAACCTGGAAGACATTATGTTAAGTGAAATAAGCCAATTACAAAGGACAAATACTATGTGATTCCACTCATATGAAGTATCTAAAGTAGTCAAAATCATAGAAACAAAAAGTAGAAAGGTGATTGCCAAGGACTGGGCAGAGAGGGTAGAGGGAAGAATTAGTGTTTAATGAGTATAGAGTTTTAGTTTTGCAAGGTGAAAAAGTTCCAGAGATTGTTGCACAACAGTGTAAATATGCTTAACACTACTGAAATATATACTTAATGGCCGGGCACGGTGGCTCACGCCTGTAATCCCAGCACTTTGGAAGGCCGAAGCGGGCAGATCACGAGGTCAGGAGATCGAGACCATCCTGGCTAACACGGTAAAACCCTGTCTCTACTAAAAATACAAAAAATTAACCAGGCATGGTGGCGGGCACCAGTAGTCCCAGCTACTTGCGAGGCTGAGGCAGGAGAATGGCGTGAACCTGGGAGGCAGAGCTTGCAGTGAGCGGAGATCGCGCCACTGCACTCCAACCTGGGCAACAGAGCAAGACTCTGTCTCAAAAAACAACAACAACAAAATATATACTTAAAAATAGATGGTAAATTTAGTCTTTTTTTTTTTTTTTGAGACGGAGTCTAGCTCTGTCACCAGGCTGGAGTGCAGTGGCACGATCTCAGCTCACTGCAACCTCCACCTCCCGGGTTCAAGTAGTTCTCCTGCCTCAGCCTCCCAAGTAGCTAGGACTACAGGCGCATGCCACCACACCCAGCTAAGTTTTGTATTTTTAGTAGAGACAGGGTCTCACCATGTTGGCCAGGATGGTCTCGATCGCTTGACCTCGTGATCCATCTGCCTCGGCCTCCCACAGTGCTGGGATTACAGGCATGAGCCACTGTGCCCAGCCGGTAAATTTAATCTTGTGTGGGTTTTTTTTTTTTTTTAACCACAATGAAAGATGATGCCAAGTCCTAGAGTTTTAATAGGTGCAAAAGCATTATAGAAAGTTAGGTCTTTAAATATCACTTCACCATACTATGTTCCACTAGCTAAAAAACTAATTTCTGGTAATGTTATTGGAGTGTTAATGGCTTAATGTTTTGCTCTAGTCAGATAACACATTTCCATCTTATTAGTTTTTAAGTGTATATCATCTTAACTTGAAGGAATAACTCTTAAGATGGAAATTTAGCCCCATGAGAGAGTACTTAGGGCACCAAAATGGATCCTAAAATAATTCTATTTCAGCAGATCCCTGGGGCCATTTGCAGTTGGTGGGTCTCCCCTAGAGCACTAGAACATGTTTTGGTTTGCAATAAATGATACTGGTGTTCCTAGTCCTACAGTAAGTAACCTAGAGTTAAATAAGTTGCCAGATATATTGTTAAGCTATTATATCTTATAAACTAACCATCACACTCAGTATGTAAAGTGTGATGAAATATAAAAGGTAATGTGTTGTGGGGAAAGGGTTAATTTTAAAATTAGAAAATAACAACCTGCTGTTTTGAGCTTTAAAAATAATTTTGGAGGTGACTTTTAGGAAATACCGAAAGAAAAGAGTTATGGCTAAATAAATTTGTGCAATTGCTTTATATATCAGATCTTAACCTAAGTTCCATCATACCCTCAGAGGTCAAAGGAATAAGCCCAAGAGGCCATTAAAAGTTTAAAAATTGCATGCATACCAAAAAAAATGTGTCTTCGTATATTCTTCTGGATAGAGGGATCATAGCTTTTATTCTTCCTTCTTTCTAAAGGGCTAAAAAGTGATTGACTATTTGCTGACAGATCCCAAATGTATATATCTCTAGCACCATGCTCTTGACTTTTATGTAAAGCTACTTATTAGATATCTTCACTGGAATGTGCCACAGGCATCTGAGACTCAATAGATCTGAAATTAAACTCAATGTTTCTTCTTATACCCTGAAACTTTTCTCCCTTCCATTGTGTTTCCTGTAAATGAAGGGACCATCATTTCCCCAATTTCCAAGGAAAAATCTAAGGTGTCATTCTTAATTTTTCATTCACCTCTGGCCCCATTTCCTAAATCTTACGGTTAATTTCTTTTGAGTCTACCTCTTTAGTATATCTCATATATGTCTACATATATTAGCTTTCACTGCTTCCACCTCAGTTCAGTCCATCACAAATGACCAGTGCTGCAAACACTTCTAATAATCTCCCAACTCCAGTCTTGCCCATGGCTAGTTCATTCTGTAAAGTACAGTCTGCATTTTTGAAAACCCATATATAATCTTGTTCTATTCCTGTTTAAAATTATTCAGATTCTCCATGTCCCCTGAATGAACTCTTGACTCCTGAGGATGGCCTTCAAGTTCGTACTGTATTGGCCTTGTCTGAGCCGTCTTTATTTCAAGCTCTGTGCTTCAGGCATTCTGAATTTACTTTAGTGTCTGAGATATGCCACATACTTTCTTTCTTCTCAACCTTTGTGCATTCTCTTCTTTCAGCTTTGAAAACTCTTTTCACCCAGACTCATGCTATTTCAACTGATCTCCTCACTGTCTGGCTAACTTTTACTGTAGATGTGAAGCTTTCTCTTATGCTCTATTGTTCTCTCTGTGTACTTCTCACATGTCACATTATCTTATCTTGTATACAGCAGTGAAGATTTGATATGGAAGGGACCCTGTTTGTCCTCCTCATTATTGTATCCCCTATGCTCTCTACTAGTGGTCCTCAAAGTCTGGTCCCTCCAATCAGCAGCATCACCATCACCTGGGAAACTTTTAGAAAAGCAAGTTCTTAGGCCCTACCCCAGACCTATTGAATCAGATACCCTGGAGGTGTGACGCAGCCACCTATGTTTTATCAGGCCCTTCAGGTGATTCTGATGCATAACATAGTTTGAGAACAGTTCCTCTATGCCATATTTGGCAATGAGTAAAAATAATTTTTTAACCCAGAGGTATCTATGATTTGTTGCCACACAGTGCCAGGGTTGTGTTGCTAAAAGGAGCTATGTAGCACATGTAAAGCAGCTCATATTTCTTCACAGAGATCCAGAGATGGCTGAATGAGAGGTATCTGCACATCAGACTGCAGTGTCTCACCCAGCCTGTCTCTTGTGGTCAGTGAGACAAATCTTTGAAGGCTTTTCGTCTCCTCTTTAGAGAATGGATCGAGAGGTAGAAAGTATTCTGTTAGCCTTCCCAATGATGATAATTTTATTATCCCATTTTATATTTCAACAAATATTTATCATATGTGGGCTCTGGATTGAATTCTGGCTTTGTCACCTAAGGGATATATGAACTCAGGCAATTTGCTTAACCTCTCCATGTCTTAGGTGCCTTATCTATATGGTGTTAATAATAGTACTTACCTTGTAGGGTCATTAGAAAGTGAAATAAGGTAATACTTGTAAAGTGCTTGGGACAGTACCCAGCATGTAGTAAGCATCCAAGAAATAGTAACTATCACTATTATATGTCAAATGCTGTGCTAGGTCTAGGGATAGAGTGGTAAACGGGACAAAATCCCTCTGTGCATGGAGTTTATATTCCAGTATGTTATAACTGTATAGACAGAAATGTATTTCTGTCCTACAGGACTTATATTAATGAGCTTCCTTGACTCTCATCTTTCCATGTCACATTTTCCTTTCTATCTATCTCTATCTATCTATCTATCTATCTATCTATCTATCTATCTATCTATCTATCTATCTCTATCTCTATCTCTGTCTCCATCTCTGGTTCCTCCCTTTTCACATATGTACTTAATTGCCTGAATTTCTCAAGTCTGCTAAGTTTAGCCCTTCTAATTCTTTCCTCTTCAGCCCTATTGCTGGCACTATGGTGAAGTTCTCATTTCTCTTCTCTCGGACTTTTGTCATATCTCCTAACTCTTATTCCTGCTTCCTGACTGTTCCCTCTGCCACTGTCAGATTAATACCCCTGATCATGAGGGTCTTTTCCCCTCAAAAACCTTCATTGAGTTGCTCCTTTTTTACCCAATGAAGTACAGATTCCTTAACCAAACATGAAAATCTCTCCAGAGTCTGGTCCCAACTACCTTATGACTCCTCTTTTTTAGATGCACAGGCTGTAGCCAGTGATTATTAGACAGATCTTGTGCTTCTGGGCTTCACTTCTTTGCATGGCAATGCCTTTCTCCCTGTTTTCAGGTTTCCACATCCTGTGTACCATCCATTCTTTCAGGGAGCATCTACTGAGGACTTATAATATGTCCAACACTATAAAAGGTCAAGGAGATACAAAGATGAATAAGGAGTGGACCTTACTCTCAAAGGACCAGGAGGCTGAGAGACAAAGAAAAGATGATGATTTTGATGATGGTGATGATGATGATGATGTGCAGGGAATATGCACAATGATAATAGATCTATACAGAATATTAAGAGCAGAGAGAGGGACACATAGTCTGTGTTCCAAGTCTCAGCTTAATACCCCTCTGCTTTAAGTTTCTTCTAACTCCTCTGTAGTCAAAATAACCTTTTCTTGTCTCCTTGAGTTTCCTTAGCACAAATTTACTACTTTTTTTAATACATAGGTGCATACATATATATTTATATCTCTCTCCTGTTAGACTTCTAATTCTGGAAAAGGATATACAGATTAAATTAGTAGTTTTCAACCAGAGGCAGTTTTCTCTCCTACGGAACATTTGACAATATCTGGAGACAATTTTGGTTGTCATAACTGAGAGGGTATGAGTAGATAGTACTATTGGCATCTAATGGGTAGAAGCCACGGATCCTGCTAAATATCCTGCAATTTACAGGGCAGCTCCCCACTGCAAAGAATCATCCAATCCCGAATGTCAGTAGTGCTGAGGGTAAGAAACTGAAGCCAAAGTTAGAATCTTGCCTCTGTCAGTTAAATAGCTGTGTGATCTTGGGCAAGTTACCTTCCCTCTGTAAGATTGAATGAGCTAATGTATATAATGTAGGCCGGGCGTGGTGGCTCACACCTGTAATTCCAGCACTTTGGGAGACCAAGGCAGGCAGATCACCTGAGGTCAGGAGTTCAAGACCAGCCTGGCCAACATGGCGAAACCCCGTCTCTACTAAAAATAGAAACATTAGCTGGGCATGGTGGCAGGTGCCTGTAATCCCAGCTACTCAAGAGGCTGAGGCAGGGAGAATTGCTTGAACCCAGGAGGCGAAGGTTGCAGTGAGCTGAGATTGCACCACTGCACTCCAGCCTGGGCGACAGAGTGAGTCTGTCTCAAAAAAAAGAAAAAAAAAGGAAAGAAAAAAGGAAGAAATTGTTCTACAATGTATATAATGTAAGTTTGGCACACAGTAAGCATTATGTACATGCTAGCTATTTATATTCTAATACATATAATAATATCTATTAGCTTATGATAGTAGTGTTATAGATACCAGGATGAAATATTTGTATCTTATCACACTCCCTAGTTTAGTGACTTTCAGAAAAAATGTTGACTAAATGGGTAGTTGTCTAGCTCTTCTATACATGCATGTCATCTAGAATCAGCTCTTCCATCTTTTCATTGAATCCTGTATATATGAATCATCACTATCAAAGGCACCTACCTCTATAGGACTGTGTCCTGGCCTGCTATACTACTATACTAAGGAAGGGAAATAGAGCATCTCTGTGCTGTCCGTAAGGTACGGATGGACCAACAAAGGTCATAAAACCACAAATTCCCTGGGAGGCTAAATAAATAAGCAATACAAGTGAGAAGCAGATCAAAACTTTTTTTTTTTTTTAACTTGTACTGCCTGATTCTTTTTTCGCCTTGGACTTGTTGATATCTTTAATAAAAGATTTAATAATCCTGGATTGTGGATTCCTCTTTTTTCTCATTACGTAAAACACAAAGGAAAATATGTAGATCAAATACTTGCCTGTTTTTGAATAATCCTTCCTGTGCGTGACCTTCCTCCTTTCTACACAATATATATATGCAGTCTGTAACCCATCTATTGCTGCTATTTATTAACCAGATGAACTAAGCACTGTCAGTGATGTCAGTGCTGCTATATTAATTTAGTTACATCTTTGTATCAGTGATCTTTATCCCTGTGTCTTTTCAGGCTGCACCAACAGTACAAACGCTTTTAATTTATGAATAAAGTGTATGGAAGCATCATGCACTTACCCTGTACTGACTGTTTGGAATAAATGTAAAAGCATTTTTCTTTGTATTCTGTAAGAAATATTTTTCTAATATTAGGTACCAGGTTGTATTACCATGTTATTTTAACAAAGATCTGACATACCTGGAGTTGTCTAACAGCTCAACAATGTATTTTTAATTATGATTTAAAATATTACTAAAAGTGTGGAACCCATATAAAGTACTGTCCTAATAAAGTAGCAATTGTCATTTTGCATATTTTATTTCTCTATAGAGATATTTCATACTTATATGTATTAGTCAAGGTTCTGCAGAGAAACAGAACCAATAGGGTGTGTGCGTGTGTGTGTGTGTGTGTGTGTATTTGTATGTATAGAGAGGTTTATTATAAAGGGTTGGCTCGTGCAATTATGAAGGCTCACAAGCTCCAAGATCCTCAGGATGAGTTTGCAAACTGGAGATTCAGGAGAGCCAATGATGTAGTTCAAGTCTGAGTCCGAAGGTCAGAGAAACAGTAGAATTGCTGGTGTAGTTCTAGTTCAAAGACTGGCAGGCTTAAGACCCAAGAAGGTTTCAGTTTGAGTCCAAAGGAGGAAAACACTGATGTTCCAGTTCTAAGGCAGTTAAGTAGAAAGAATTCTCTTACTCAGAGGAGAGTTGACCTTTCTGTTCTTTTCAGGCCTTCAACTGACTGGAAAGGGCCCACCCATGATAGGGAGGGCAGTCTGCTTTACTCAGTCTACTGATGTAAATGTTAATCTCACCCAAAAACACTTTCACAGAAACACCCAGAATGAGATTTGACCAAATATCTGGGCATCCTTTGGTCCAATCAAGTTGACACATACAACTAACTATTATATGATATATATAGGTGATCAGCAAATGTACAATTTTATAACCTAGTTTTAAGAATGTTTTATTATAGTCATGTATAAAAATTATTAACATATAGTAACTCACTTGGCATATTGAGAAGTAAGTATAATAAAGAATCTTAAAGCATGGGCCATATCTCAAAGAATCATAAACCAAAATTAATATAATTGAGCATGCAATTAGTCCTTTATGCTAAAACTATGAAAAATGTTTTTCATATATGAGGTTCTTTGAAAAGGTATTTACACTTAAGACTATTTGGAAAGAAGCTTAAAGAGAAATATGATACAAATAGTCTGCACTAGGCTGTCTTGAACTTCTTGCACATTTAATTTAATTCAACAGACATGTATTGAATATCTGCTATGTAAAGTTCTGTGTTACTTGCTAAGAGGGATACTAAGATATGTTAAAAAAAAAAAAAAGCTGTTTCCCTCAAGGAGGACAAACAAGGACTCATCTAACTATACAACAAGGTAATAGTTAACTACGTCATCAAAGTGTGGTGCAGAAATATAACTGTATCATATATGAGATAATGCTTTAACCTGTTTGGAAGTATTTATACAGCATATATAAGGGGGAACATCATCACTGGCCTATCAGTAATGGCCAGAGACAATATTTTTGGTGGAAAGAACAGCTCACGAAAAGCTGAGAAAGAAAAGGATGTATTTTGCCAACAGAAAATTATCTAGATGTGCCTAGTGTTTAGGTTGTGATAAGGGAAGGAGCGATGACAGAAGAAAACTTAAAAATCTGCTTGCAAAATGGAAATAGAGGAAGGTCACAGTGAGCCCTAAATGTCATTATTTTAAAATTTGAATGTTTAAAAATTGAGAGCCATGAACATATTTGAAAAGTGGAACAACTTTTCTAATCTGTAATTTAAAAATAATTTAGGAAGCAATGTAAGGGATATATTAAAGTGTTGTGAGACTGTAAGAAGGGTACCCACTTTTATTACATATATCTGACTAATTTCTAAAGAGGATTTGATACAGTTTATAGAATTGAAAAATAAAGGTGAAAAAATAGGAGCCGAGTAAATAAAGACAAGAAAATAAGATGAAGCTGTAGTAAGGATGCTGCAAAACGAAACAACAACAACAAAAGCACATGGCAAGAATTCAGTATTGATAGAAGTGGCCCAGAAGATGAGCTCTGAATCTCGACAGAAGGAAATAGGAAAGATGATTACTTATAACTGAGATCTTGCTTTTTGTGTCACAGAAAAAAATAGAAGCAATCAGGACTTTCTCTAATATATCTCTAGCAGCCTCCCCGTGTGAATTCCCATATGCTCTGCCATCTTACTACAGATGAACTGTCCATGCTCTTCTATAAATCCAACTCCTCCATTTGTGCTTTAGCTTCAATCTCCTTATCTACTCAACAATGTTCCTCTAGCAATCTCCATTCTCTCCTGCATTTCCAGTTTTCCCTGTTGAATCATTTCTGTCAGCATAAAAATATGTTGAGTTTTTTTAATCTTTAAGAAACAAACAAAGCAAACAACCTAAAGAGAAGTCCTTTGATTCAGCTTCCTTCTCCTTGTACTACGCTACCCATTCATTGTGAGAAAATGCAAATCAAAACTGCAGTGAGGAAAAACAAAAAACAAAAAACTGCAGTGAGGCCAAGTGAGGTGGTTCTCGCCTATAATCCCAGCACACCGGGAAGCCAAGGCGGGAGGATCTCTTGAGGTCAGGAGTTCGAGAACAGCCTTGACAATATAGTGAGATCCCATCTCTACAAAAATTTTAAAAGTTAGCCAGGAGTGGTTTTACATGCCTTTAGTCCCAGCTATTTGAGAAGCTGAGACAGGAGGATCACTTGAGTGATCCAGGAGTTTGAAGCAACAGTGAGCTATGATTGCACCACCTCACTGCAGCCTGGGCAACAGAGAGAGATCCTATCAAAAAACAAACAAAACAAAAACGGCAGTGATGCAGTGAGATTTATTGGTCAATTTTTAGATTGGCAAAACGCCAAGTCTTTGTAATACCTCTATGGAAAAGGTTTGTGAAAAACTCTTACATGTACAAAAACATGTGGAAAAACTCTTACATGTACTTCTGGTAGAAATACAAAATGGTACAACTGTTATGCAAGGGAATCTGACAATATATATAAAAACTGCAGATGATTTACTTTCTCATCCATTATCTCAGAAAATCCATTTAAGAGAAATACTTACAAGGCTGTTTGCTGAAACATCATTTGTAGTAGCAAAGGTTTGAAAAAAATTTTAATTCTCTATTAATAACAGATTGGTTAAATAAACAGTGCTTTAACCACTAATGGAATTCTATATACCATTTAAAAAAATAAGATCTCTAAGCATTGATATGGAAATACCTATTGATAAGTTAAAAATGCAAGGTGCCTGCCAGGCGCAGTGGGTCACGCCTATAATCCCAGCACTTTGGGAGGCTAAGGCGGACAGATTACCTGAGGTCAGGAATTCAAGACGAGCCTGGCCAACATGGCAAAACCCCATCTCTACTTAAAATAGAAAAATTAGTCAGGCATGGTGGCAGGCACCTCTAACCCCAGCTACTGGGGAGGCTGAGCCAGGAGAATTGCCGGGGGATGGAGGTTGCAGTGAGCCGAGATTGTGCCACTGCACTCCAGCCTGGGCGACAGAGCCAGACTCTGCCTCAAAAAAAAAAAGCAAGGTGCCTAGTAATTTTTAAGGTTTCTGACCTTTTATGAAAGGAGGAAATAAGAATATATATTCGTATTTGCTTGAATTTGCATCAGGAACTTTAAAAGCTAACAAAACTGATTATGCATAAAGGATGGGCTGGGGAATTAGGAAAACATCTGTTGTAATAATTTCCAGTCTTGCTATCTCTTTTAAGCTCTCATATACTTTTATGGAAAATATAAAATGATGATTTTCTCAAATTGTGTATTATATTTTCTTTGGAACAAAATAATCTGTTTTTATAGCACTTGCTTAATTTTCTATTGTATTTTATCATAAAATTATTTCTTAAAAATTCTATTCCTAGATCCACATTTATTCTCTTGGAATGACACTGTATTGGGGGGCTGATTATGAAGTGCCTCAGAGCCAAGTAAGTTAAGTTTTTACAGTTGTTATACTTTTTACATATGTTCAATTTTACACCTTATATCATAGCTCTTCCACACGTTTATACGTGTTCTACAGCATGCTGTCAGGTGTACCAACATTCCTATGGAGTTTGTTTACATTAATAATGTCATACTTTCAGGATGAACTTTCAGTAAAGTACTAAAGACACTATTTTTAAGGTATTCCTAGAATTGTAGCAATCACTACCCAGGTTTCAACAACTCAGTCTGTGAGATGGACCTGGCCTCTTCAAAAATTATAGCAAGATAAATGAGCGTGTACTTTATTTTATCTAATGTAGTGACTGTTAAGAGGGATTGAAAATCTCTTGTCTTTGATGATTCATTCTACTGAATGTAATAGCTTTTTTGATGCAAAAACTCTAGGAATAGTAGCCCTATGTCTCAGAGTGTTGTATTAGAGAATGTCATAGCTTTTTCTCTTGGCACTTCAAATCGTACATCATACTTCACGACCCCTGTAACAGCAGACACAGGTATTAAAGTAACACTTGCTGAGGTCTTGGGCCCTGTTTGCCATTGGGCTGCTTCTAGTCATTATTTTCTAAAATAATTCTGATTCTTAATGACCAATATAAACATAGTAGTAAATAGTAATTGAAAATTTAAAAATAGCTATATTTCATCAAGGCAAGATATAACATATAGAATTAGGTTTTATTTTAGGCATTTATAAGTCAAAACCAAAAATAACTAGGTGTGGTTTTTTCTTATTAAATAAAAGGAAGTAACAAGCATTTTAGCCTTTTATTCTAAAATACAAACATCTTAAGATCCATAAAAGATAAATAATATTCTTCACTTTGTTTGGTTTTATTTTATATCATGAAAAATAATGTATATTTTCTTTTTCTCTTCAGTTTCAATTCTGTAAATATAAATGAGAAAGTTAAAATATTACTGGAAATATTGGTGTCATATATTATGCAACCTAACTTGTAAAATGTGATCACAGTCTATAACACTTTATGTTCTTTTCTGATAACTGGAAATAAAGTCAATATCAAATATAAATAGAGAGTCAATATCAATAAATATAAATTAGAGGGGAAATATAAACTTGTATTTTAGGATCAGAAATCAGGATATTTTGGAAATATTTAATATTAATTTAAAAGTATTTATTAAGTACCTACCTTGTGTCAGATACTGTTAGACACTAGGACTATAGTGACGCTTGCCTATGGAGTTTTTTGGAAGGAACAGACAGCTAAACGGCCAACTGCAACATAATGCAATAAATGCTATGTTAGGGAAAATAGAGGATGCTATGGAAAACAGAGTTGGGACTTCTGGTTAGGCTTGGAGGGTCAGGACAGATTTCTTAAAGGACATTGCATCTAAGCTAACACCTAAAGGATGATATATTAATAATACCCAAATGGATAAGAAGTGGAAGAGTCATAGGAAAGGCATTTGTTTAGACCAAAGTGGATATACCAGTTTAAACTCCCGTCAGCTTGGATGTGAGTTTTAATTGCTCCACTCCTTACCAATTCTTGTATTGTTAGTATTTTTATTTTTCACTATTTTATTGGGTGTGTAGTGGCTTCTTCTTGTAGTGGTTTTAATTTATATTTCTTAGTGAATAATGACATTGGCCACCCTTTCATATGCTCTTTGGCCATTCAGATATAATATTCTACAAAATACGTTAACTAATAAAAAAAAAACCCTCACATTCTGGCTTGTCTGTTTGACCAACATAATGATAATTTATATTTAAATGGTCTTGAAGCATTGCAATATTTTAAATCTTCTTTAAGTTATCATGGGAGTATCTAATTATATTTATACACATTGAATGTATTACATTTTATATAATATTAGGAAACAGTTTATTCCCCCAAATGGTGTGTATGTTTGTGTGTGCGTGTGTACATGTAGTAACTGTTTATCAAAACATTTGAATAAGCCAAGAATTTCACTACTTTACTTTATATTTAAAAATGCCCAGAGTTTTTCTGTACTTCCTTTCTAGGGAAGTATAAGTTAACTATCTTCTGCTAATATATTTTTAAAAAAGGTAAAACACAGTAAAATGCTTATGCTGATAAAAAGGAATTTATTTCCTCCAAGTATGTGAAGTGTGTTTTAGTGTGGTTCCTGTGATTCCTAGAATGATTTGTCTCATTAGAAAAAATATTTGCTCACATTTACTCACTGGCTTTTCCTTTATTTATATTCAGCCTATTAAGCTTGGAGATCATCTCAACAGCATACTGCTTGGAATGTGTGAGGATGTTATTTACGCTCGAGTTTCTGTTCGGACTGTGCTGGATGCTTGCAGTGCCCACATTAGGAATAGCAATTGTGCACCCTCATTTTCCTACGTGAAACACTTGGTAAAACTGGTTCTGGGAAATCTTTCTGGGGTAAGCTACAGTTACAATAGTAAATATAGTCATATTTTAAAATTTAGTAGATATCACAAAATTTTCTTTAAGGATACTATATAGGTAGCATTTTCTCAATGAAGACTAGAAATGGAAAATTGAATTTCTTCTTCTAATATAAATTGTTTATTTGAAACAATACTTAAAATTTAGAAGCTCATTGCAATAAGTCTAGATTTTGTGAGAATTATTCCCAAAAATATCATAGAATGATAGCATGTTTGAGCTGAAAGTGTCTCCTCTTGTTTTCTTTCTTAGATCTTTTCCCAAGGAGCTTTTAGCAAATGCTTCTATTGTGAACACCTAGAAAAAATGTATTAACATGAAAATGGGTTTTAGAAATATTTAAATGTACTTTCTGTTGCTTTATACCTGTTTCGTGACCACTCATTTGTCTGGATCTTCTAGGTATTTCCCAAACCTTCTCCACTTTCCCTTCTTCTCGGAACACTGCTACCTAGTGTATCCAGGGAATCCATGCTTGTATCCCTGCCAGATTTCCCCAAGACCTGGACTCTTCTAGTTTTTCTCTTGTTTTGGATATGAAGAATCCCAAGAATAACCAATGCTATATATTACCTGAAAGTCCCACCTCTGTTCTGCATTTCTAAGGCTGTATTTTATCTTGTTTGCCCTATCTGATCTGGATCTATACTTTATCTGCTCTTATCCTTAGGGTTGTAGTCCTGGAGTGTTGGTCCCTCTTCCTTGCACAGGTTACAAATTTACCACTGCCACACAGTGTTCTTGTTGACTTCCTCAGAATTCCTCATCGGTAGGGGTTTAGTTCCCATCTTAACCAGGATGTCAGATGGCTGCCAGGAATGTATTCAAATTCTGCACAGTTTTTCAGTTGATAACAAACAGGCCCACAGATCTTCTAGACAAATGGTTTGTAAACTCTCCCTCAAGAAACCTTTGCGGTTCTATAGTGAAGGGAAATGTAGGAAGTAGAGGCCGAATAAATGGAGTTCTTGGTTGCCCATTTTCCCTCTTTAACTAGAGCAGCTCCAGTTTTATTTGATCTGTTTATATTTCTGCGTGTGATTTTTTTGAACAAAGGTAAAGCTATTAAAAAATCTTTGAAAACCATCTGTCCAGACCAAAGTTTCTCATATTGTTTTCAATATTTTTGTTTTAAAAATTCCTCTATGACCAAATAAGCTTGAGAAGAAACTATTTAAAGGAAATTAAATGTATTTTCACTGGAGAACTTCTTAGAACCTTTAATATACTAGACTATATTACTAACCTTCAAGAAGAATAGGCATGTAAATAAAGCATTTCCCAAACTTTCTTGGTCTTGGAGGTCTTTTTTTCAGACATTCTCATAAGACTAATATTCTTTAAAACTTCACTTTATGGATAAGGAAACTGATACCCAAACAACTATGGGATTTGAGTTTCCTATTAGACAGTCCAGGGACTTTTTTATTACACCACACTTTCTCTAAGACTTTTGTGCTGCTTGCTAATTTTACTCCTATAGTAAAATTGTGAGAGATATTTTTTTCTGTCTTTGAATGAAGAATTTTTTTTCTGTCACCATAGAAATTATATTACCTATCTAATAATTGCCCATATTACATATAAAATCTTCATCCCTTTAAGGTTTAGCATTTAGTTCTCTTTATTATAGTGGATCTTTATTGTTCATTTATGTATGAAACCTGTGCTAGGGATTATAGAAGATACAAATTTGAATAAAATATTTGATCTAGGAGCTCTTATCTAAAATGCCATAACCATTTGCTTAATTATAAAATGAAAGAAGGCTATAAAATGATACATAGTAAAAATTTTAACAGCTATGAGAGTTTAAAGGAAAAGGATACAAATTATGACTGCATTGAAAAATAGCACTTTGAAGCTGAGCATGGTGATGCATGCCTTTAGTCCCAGCTACTCAGGAGGCTGAGATGGGAGGACTACTTGAGCCTGGGAGGTCGAGGCTGTAGTGAGGCATGATTGCACCACTGCAGTCCAACCTAGGCAACAGAGTAAGGCCCTACCTCAAAAAAAAAAAAAAAAGTTAAAATTAAAAATAGCACTTCGAACTGTATCCTATAGGCTAGATAATCTCGGCAGAGGGAAGTGAACCTGGATAAAGGCTGTGAAATGGGAAAGCAGGAATGTTTGGGGAACAGTATGACATGGGGTGTATTGTGGGGTTATTTAATGGGAGAGAAAAATAGAAGGATCAGTTGGAATCAGCATGTAGAGAGCCTCTCTTCACAAAGACAAATTTTTACTAAGTATAATAATGCTCCCCTTACCTTTCTATTGCTCTTCCTCATCTCCTAGACATCACTGGGTAGAAGTAACTCCAACAGCTACTGTTTTTTAAGTGTTTGTTTACTTTGTGCCAGACACTATGCTAAGGGGTTGATGTGCATTATCACATTATTCATCATAACAACCTCAATTTAATAGAGATACTTTTATCCTCATTTTAGAGGGCATAAAACTAAGGCTAAGAAAGATTAAATAACTTGCACATAGTCACAGATACGGTAAATGATGGAGACATAATTGGAACTGGGGTGTTTTTGACCCCAGTATATTCCTTAAAGCTTTTGTTGCCTCCAGTAGCTGACAGAATGAGTTAGTCTTTCACTGGTGTGAAATTCATTCTGAGTGACCATCATTCTTACTTAACATTAATTAGCGTGAGTAAAAGTCAGCAAGCCAGCTTACTTGTCTAGGTTTTTCCACTGATTTAATGTTATAATATTTGGACCACAATTTTACTTATCTGCAAAATAGGAATAATAATAATATGTGTCAATCATCCATATTATTAAACTGTTGTAAAAGTAGTTATTTCCACATTAATGAGCTGCTTTGTGGTCCTTAGAAGTTTCTTTGCTATTTCTCCCTTTATTTATAATATGAGGATAATATTGTCTACCATATGAGGTTGTTTGAGGATTAAATAGCACAAAGTGTGTGCCTAGCATATAGTAACTGTTCAATAAACAACAGTTATTAATAGTAACTAACTTCAATGCAGGAATTTTCAAAGATGTGGGATGTTAGTAATACTGTCTTTTCAGTCACTGACAGTACAGTGTAATCTGGACTAACATCATTTATGCAACTTAACTGATAACATGATTTCAGAAATACTTCCATTTACAAGTCTTCTTATAGGTAGAAAACATAATGCTTGAGCCTTGAATATACCACCTTAGATGGGTTTTTAATCCATACTTCAGCAAAATTCACTAATGGAGCAATATTAAAACATTTCTGTGGTATGTGCGAGTTTGTGTGTGTGTAAACAAATATGTATGCATGCTTTTGGTGCTAGATTTAAGTAATTTCTCTTCACCATTCTCTCTTCTTCCATTTATATTGACATTTCTCCTCTATTTGGCCACCTGAATAAAACAGTGGTCTGTCCAGTTTTTTATCCCTTATAGTGTGGAGTTTGACCTAATTTGACATACTTTATTTCAAGCAGATACCCTTTGCTAAAGCTATTAAACTTTAAGATTACATTTTGTTTTAAAGGGAACTTAAAAGAGCATTGATTTAAATTTGTTATCCCTCAGAGCGTCCATTTAAAGACTTAGCATTTCTCGGCCAGGCATAGTGGATCACGCCTGTAATCCCAGCACTTTGGGAGGCCAAGGCAGGCAGATCACTTGATGTCAGGAGTTCAAGACCAGCCTGGCCAACATGGTGAAACCCTGTCTCTACTTAAAATACAAAAATTAGCTGGTGTGGTGGTATGCACCAGTAGTCCCAGCTACTCTGGAGGCTAAGGCATGAGAATCGCTTGAACCTGGGAGGCAGAGGTTGCAGTGAACCGAGGTCCTCCAACCTGGGTGACAGAGTGAGACTCCGTTATATTTAAAAAAAAAAAAAAAAAAAAAAGACTTAGCATTTCACAAATGTAATTTCTGAAGGGCAAGATCTATAAAATTATTTCTGAAAGTAATTTAAATTCCTCAATTCATAGTTATAATCAAGAGAAAGCTTTATTATACCAAAATTAATGTGGTTTTTAAATTATAAACTAACTTAAGAGTAGTTAGTGGTTGGGGAAAAAAGAAGACTTCAAGTTTACTGTTTTCAAATAGAACTCATTTTAACAAGTTTAATCTGATGGTATTTTCTAGTTAGTAGGTTACTCTTCAGTCACTGCTTCTTCCCTTTTAATTTTCTGAAATGAATTGGCCAGCACTGGTCTACATAAATCTTATCCAAGAATACAAATTACCCTACAAATACAATAGGACATAGAGTCTCATTATTTAATGTTACATCCTCCAAAAACTGTGTAACTAGTGTCATTCTGTAAACAGTTACCATGAAAACAAAAGGGAGATCCTTTTGTCAAACTTGATTTTTTATTACCTGTGTACAGACAGATCAGCTTTCCTGTAACAGTGAACAAAAGCCTGATCGAAGCCAGGCTATTCGAGATCGATTGCGAGGAAAAGGATTACCAACAGGTAAGAGTATATTAATAGGAAATGTCTAGGCTTTAACCTTATCCCATTGTTTTCTTTACAAAATTATACTTACCTGGCTTTGAAATCTGGTAATTGAGACTATGATTAGAACGTAAACGTACAAACTGGAGGTAGGGAATGGGCAGGAACACTAGCTACATTAAAAATAATTTCATTAAACTTATACAGAAAACATTATTAATATACTTAGGATTCCCAGAGTAACTTATTTCCCTTTCCAGTATTGGTATATCAATAATAATAATATTTATTTACTTTATCGTGGTATTTCATATTAAAAATACTTTTTAAAGCATGACTAAATAAACACATGTATATGTTTATGAACATAAACACTACTGAAACAAAAGTTTCAGAAAACGTTTTTCTTACTGCACTCTGATATTTTTTATCATATTTCTTTTTTTTTTTAAATGCTAGTAATAACTCACTAAATAGATTTTATCATGGAGTTATCAAATACTACCTTAGGTCATGTGATACTTAGTAAATAAAAACTAATGATGAGTAGTGATTTTGCTATTTGTCAATAGCATTATATAATTCTGTATCCTATGATAAGTATTAAATTTATTTTTTTGAAAGAAATGAATGGAAATTTCAGGCCAGGCGTGGTGGCTCACGCCTGTAATCCCAGTGCTTTGGGAGGCTGAGGTGGGCGGATCACCTGAGGTCAGGAGTTCGAGACCAGCCTGGCCAACATAGTGAAATCCCATCTCTCTAAAAATACAAAAATTAGCCGGGCATGGTGGCAGGCACCTGTAATCCCAGCTACTCGGGAGGCTGAGACAGGAGAATCTTGAACCGGGGAGGCAGAGGTTGCAGTTAGCCGAGATCACACCACTGTGCTCCAGCCTGGGCAACAAAGAGTGAACTTCTGTCTCAAAAAAAAAAAAAAAAAAAAAAAAAGAATGGAAATTTCAAACACTTGAAATAAAAGTAAATATAATTTTATGTGACAATTTATTTTTCATTGCTACTTTCAGGCATGGCTTATTTATAAAATAAACTTTTGATTTTGTTGATTATCTTTGTTCTCTTCTTATCAAGCAGTTTTGAGAATCATGATAATCTAAACATTAACAGAAATACTTTTTTAGATCTTGTCCTAGATCTTGGGGCTAGGTAGAAGTAAATGTACAGATTGCTTAAATATATTCTAACAAAATATATTCTAATTGATATAGCTTAATAAAATAGATTAAAAAGTTAAGATTTTAATTTAATCAGAGCATCAGAGAAACCTGTCTTACTTAAAACCTATGAGCAACTCTAATTGTGAAAAATAAATGTAGACCTTGACTATCTGGACCAAATGTTTTACAGAGTCAGAACTCTCATATCTGAGAGGAAGGAATGTGTAAGTTAAAGAAAAGCAGTAAAATTGTTTCTAAGGGAGTGATTTTGTAATGGTACAGTTAAGTATCTGTTTTGGTGCTTCCATTTTAATTATTGTGAATAAAGACTATCTGAAAAGATATTTTAGCTTTCATTTCATTGGTATAGTAATTTATTTCTGGTTAGATCAGAGTTTTTTTCTAATGCATATATGATTAGTTTATATATGGGCCAAAAAAATAACAGTGTGGTAACAATTTTGAAAGTATTTTTCATCCTTTCTTGCAAATATTTCCTTCCTATACTTATGTCCCCATACTGTACTTTTGTCACTTTCTTTTTGTAGGTAAAAATATGTTTATTTTTATACTATTCTAGGATTTGAGATAGTATATAGTGTAAACTTTAGCACTAATAATAGCAGCAATTTGTTAATTGATCAAATTTGCAGTCAGTCTCCTATTTTAGAATCGAATAATAACAAACTTATAGATGAATATCAATAGCAAGCTGAAATAATCTTTTGGGAGACATAGTGAACATTTTAATAAGTAGAACATTAGATTTAAAAGACATTTTTGTTTTTCTTACTTATCTTTTTCTATTTTCTCCCTCTCTTTCTTTGCTCTCTCCACCTCCCTCTTTCCTTTCCTCTCTCCCTCCCTCCTTTCTTATTTCTCTTTGTTATTCTTTCTCTAACCTCTTTCAGCAGTTCCCTACTATCATTTCCTACTACCATTAAGTGGCCATGTTATGTAGTTGAAGTTTATTTGCTTATGTGTTACTTCTTGATTTAGTAACTGTAATGTTGTATTATTAATTTTTGCAGACAGTGTATTTTTCTAAGAATAAAAAATATTCACATATGATTTATTTATGTATATATGACTTCCATCCTATCTCCCTTTCCAGTGTGGGTCTGTAGAAAGAAAAAGGTGAGCCTTGCAATATTTATCAAATTGTAAGGATTATCAAATGCTAACATAATTTAGATTTTATTACTTTCAATGGTTCAGAGGCTTAATGTTTCAGAAATTAATTGTTACATATTATTTTAAAGATAGCAATTAAGAGATTATACTGAGTCTATACCTACTTGATAACATATTTTTAATAGGTTATTTGTCATTTACATATATACGTATATTTGTTTCATAAAGGACATTCATAAAAGTTAAGCTTTCTGGACATATAGATGCTGGGGATAGGGAAAACCTATATTAAGTTCATTAGTTTTTATAGGTGTTCAGTGTATATTTGTTGACTGAACGAGAAAAGGTTTTATGGAAATACTGGATTTTGAAGTGTAATATATTTGTAGTATACTTCTTTAATAGCTCCATAAAGAAATATGTGAGACTATGGTTTATTTATTTAGCCTATGTTAAACATTAAGTTGTATGCAAAAGAAAAATAAAACATCTTGCCTCATATTATTGGACCATTTTCTTATTATAACAATAAAAACATCAGAAATTTTAATCCAGATTTTAATGCCTTTTATTTGTGATTTTGTTTTTATAATACTAAGAAAGATTTAGTATTATTGTCTAATAGTTCCTTAGAATTCTTATTATTAATATGCTGTTCTAATACAGATAAGGAAGCGTTGACTGTCATGACTTTACAAAATTAACAGAGAAATCAAATCCTTAAGTAGATTGTTTGTTGATTTTATCCTCTAATAGTCATATTGGAGAATAAAATCTCCCTTGTATCTAAACTCAAGAGAATTTGTGAGTAATTACAATTAGTCACTCAGGATTAACCAAATTTTGTTTGTGTTTCTATTTTTTTTAGTAGAGTTAAAGGTCCTAATACTGAAATAATAGTCTTATTTGGATCAAGTATAAGGGGAGAGTATTCTTTAGACCTTCTTAACCATCAGTGCTTTGCACAGTAGTATTGCACAAGTGCTCTTTTCATTTACCTTTTACAAATTCATAAAACCTCATTTTAAGGACAGAACCAATATAAATATACTAATTATAGCCATTACCAGGCAGAAGCATTCAGCAGCTAATAGTCAACTGCATAGACTAATTTTAAAAGTTTAAGATTGAAAAAAAAATTATCTCTTGAAGAAGTAATTCTTCTAAGACACCTAGGACACTTGGCAGTGCCAGTTCTTAACTGTCAGTGGTCAATTGCAGCAAAGCAACCTTGTGATACATTATTAATAAAACATTTTCTTCAGTGTGCACCAACCTAAAATCTGTATGTGGTGATAGCATTAGTTTATTAGGCTCCTGACTACAGGAGTAGTCTTTAATAAAGAAAATGTTAAGATGGACAGGGAGATACAGAATTAGATGGAAAGATGTATGCAAATTTGGGGATAATGCCTTATACCTAGTGATTTAATTGTTCAGCTCAAATGTAATAAAGATTTTTATCTATAAGTAAATGACCTTAAAAGGTCTCTTCTTATATCTTACCTCCAAGATCTGTCACAGAAGCTAAAGCCTAAACTAGTGGGCTCTCTGACCCTACTTTGTTACCTAATACTGCCAGTGCTGATTAAATAGCTTCACTGAGCAGAAAGAAATCAAACATTTCCTGCCAAGCTTAAGGTGGAAACTTACACTATTATTCAGATCAACATGGTGGTGCTTTAGAACTTACGCATATTAGTAATATCATGTTTCTTTCTTTTGAAACGCACTTGGACACATTTGTGAGGATACATGGGGACTTGGGGAGCCTCTTTTAATATTGAAATGCCATTTCGAAGTTTACTTCTAAGAGATGTGAATTTTTGAGTCTGGGTGAATTGAAAGGTAAATGATGATATCCAGTGTAGGATAATGTTAATCACATATAACAAAAATAGTTAAAACACAATGTAATTTACAAGGAAGTTTTTTCTAAAATTTAACTAAAATAAATGGGATGTGTTCTATTACAAAGACTTTTTATATTCTTGAAATCTTACCCAAGGAATACAAATATGAAATCTTTTATTTGTAAATAAAGTATATTTATTGTTTGCCATTTAACTTTTAGCAAGCTATGCATTCTCCAGAAGGAAAATGCTTAGGGCCATTGCAGTGATCTAGTCAAGCAATAATGTTAATTGGAAATAGGGTGATGGCAGTGGAATTAGAATACATGAAATAATAAGATGTCTTTGAGAATTTAAATAGCCATCATTTACTGTTGGATTTGATATGGGGATTAAATAAGGTAAAAGATTTAAGGATGGTGCCCATATTTCTGTTTTGAACAATCAGTTGAGTAATTGGGCCACTTATTGTAATAGGAAAGACTGGGGGAGAATGGACAGTTCTGGATGTACGAAGCAAAAGATCAGTTTTGAGCATGTTGCATTTGAGGGTCTTCTGAAATATAAGTAGAAGTTTCATTACATATGATTGGAACTCCCAGAAGAGGTCGGTGCTAAGCATATCAATTGGGAGTTGTCAAGGTATAGATGATATTACTGCCTTGTTAATGGAAGAAGTTATATAAATACAAAGTGAGTAGATGAAATTCTAAAACTGACACCTAAGGAAATCCAACATTTGGATATCTCATAAAGGAAGAAAAACCAAAGACTAAGAATGAGCAGTCTGACAGGTAGGAGGAAAGCAGGTATGTAAAGAGAGGAAAGATTGAGTAAAGGATGGTCATCATAACCAGCTTTTACTGAGAAGTAAAATATGTATACCAAAATGTCCATCTGATTTGGCAAGCAGAGATCATTGGTCATAACTAATGAGAGTTGCTAATGTATAGAGTAGTTGGAGGCTGATTAAAGTGGGTACAATAATGAATGGGAAGTAAGAAATGGGAGATAGCAGTAGCTAGGGGGAAATGTGGTTAACAGAGGAAGAGTTTGGTTTGGTTTGACTATGGGAGATACTAGCTTATGTTCACATACTAATGGGAATATTCAACAGAAAGGAAGAATATTGAAAATATGAGGAGATAGCAACAGAGAATTAACGAAAGAAGTAAAGTCTTTGATAAAGTAAAATTATGAGGGGGGAATCCAGAATACATATTGGGGATTGGCCTTCAACTGGCAGGAAATTTCATCGTTTAAGATGGCAAAGAAAAGAGTAGACATAGCCTGGCACAGTGGCTCACACCTGTAATCCCAGCACTTTGGGAGGCTGAGGTGGGCAGATCACGAGGTCAGGAGATCAAGACCATCCTGGCTAACATGGTGAAACCCCTTCTCTACTAAAAATACAAAAACAAAATTAGCGTGGTGGTGGGCGCCTGTGGTCCCAACTACTCGGGAGGCTGAGGCGGGAGAATGGCGTGAACCTGGGAGGCGGAGCTTGCAGTGAGCCAAGATGGCGCCACTGCACTCGAGCCTGGGAGACGGAGCGAGACTCTATCCCCCCTCCAAAAAAAAAAAGTAGACATAGGTAGTATAGAATTACTCATGGAAAGATGAGAAAGCTCTCCTCCAACAGCTCCGGTTTTCCTGGAGTTATGACAACACCATCAGCCAAAAGAATAGGGAGTTAAGTTAGAAAATGTGGAGAATGAGGAAAAGTGAAACAGTCATTGTGGAAAGTAAGCACACTGTTAACATGTGGTGTTGCGTGTACAAAGTGATTGACTATGAATTTATGGTGTTGCCAAATACCCACTTGTTTGATGTTTTTCCAAGTTTTAACTGCTTGTTTGGTAGTCAAGGTAGCAGGATAAGGCAGATGGTTAAGTTCATCTATGTGTGGTTTATGATCCTTGAATCCTTTCCATTCTTTTTTTAAATCTATTGTGTTCTATCAATTTTCAAGAATATCTCTGTTCTCTATTCAATAAAATTTTAAATTAATGAGTTCCAAATGTGGTTTGTTTAAGAATATAACATCCCTAAAATACTGTAACACAGACATATGTTTATCAGTTTTCAAATTATCTTAGGTTAGAAGCTGGAGTCTGTGACAATCTGTGTCTGGATGTGGTATGGTATATTTCTTGGTGTTCTTTATCTGATGTGCCCAAAATATAGATGTTATCCTTATTTACACTTGAGTAGATTCATGGGAAGATGAGGCACAATAAAAGCACAATGTTTTAATCTTATCCTTAAGCAATTATTTGCTGCCATTCTGAAATGAATTCCCTTTTTAAAGATTTTTTAAGGTAAAATTTGTGTTCAGGGAATTAAAGCTTATAGTTGTTACACTAAAGAGGCAATTGATGTCTTTAAATAAATTAACAAGCAATTTATTATTATTAAGGTTTTAGTCATTATTTTATATTGTATAGCAGATAGATATCACAGCGATCACAGAAGGTAGCACATGAAATCTTCAGTGTTTATGGGCTATTGAGTTAGTGACTATAAAATATTTACCCGTATTTCTTTTTTCAGTAGTGGCCATATATATGCTTTTTTGTTGAATCTATGGATTCACAAAATTAATTTCTGGATGGACATTTTTGGTGTGTGTCACATTTATAGACTACTGCCTTTTAAAAAAAAGTAAAATGACTACTGATTTTTAACTATATCAAGGACTAAAGAATAAGAGTTGGTACTTTATTACAATTGGCAAATAATGGTAAATTATGTTCTAGAGGAAAAAACTTTTTTAGTGCATGAGGGTCTGCCATGGAAACAGTAAGTTTCTTTCATAACTTAAACACAGTCAAAATTATTTGGATTTCAAACACAAAGTTTTCTGAAAACATGTCTAATTATAATAAAATCTTGATACTTAAGAATTCGAAATGCTACAATCCTATTTCCATCCAGAATATAGCAAGAATTCTTTGTTTCTTCCTTAAATGTATGTATTTAAAAGATCGAAATATACTAGGGCTTTATAGTGATATGACATACATTTGAGTTATACCTTTAGAAGTTAAAGTAGTTCACTATACATTCCATTACTGCCCCAAATCATTTCTTGGATAGTGAATATTCTTCCAAACTGGATAGTTGTCTGCTTTTTTAAAACCAAATAATTCACATTTGATGAATATAAAATAATACCACTCAAAAATGTCAGTTCAGTATATTGCTTTTATTAGATAAGAGACGATGAACTATGAAAAGTTATGCAAACATAGTATCTCTTTCCTCTTCCACTATGACCATCATCACCATCCCATTTCACCTCTGATCTTCCATTTGGAGCATTTAGGAAATTGCCACCACTTTCATTGTCAATAGTGGATTACATTTCCATTTATTTTCTAAAAATTGTGTGCATACATGATAGATTCTTATCATTCCAGGAAGAAGCTCTACTTCTGATGTACTAGACATACAAAAGCCTCCACTCTCTCATCAGACCTTTCTTAACAAAGGGCTTAGTAAATCTATGGGATTTCTGTCCATCAAAGATACACAAGATGAGAATTATTTCAAGGACATTTTATCAGATAATTCTGGACGTGAAGATTCTGAAAATACATTCTCCCCTTACCAGTTCAAAACTAGTGGCCCAGAAAAAAAACCCATCCCTGGCATTGATGTGCTTTCTAAGAAGAAGATCTGGGCTTCATCCATGGACTTGCTTTGTACAGCTGACAGAGACTTCTCTTCAGGAGAGACTGCCACATATCGTCGTTGTCACCCTGAGGCAGTAACAGTGCGGACTTCAACTACTCCTAGAAAAAAGGAGGCAAGATACTCAGATGGAAGTATAGCCTTGGATATCTTTGGCCCTCAGAAAATGGATCCAATATATCACACTCGAGAATTGCCCACCTCCTCAGCAATATCAAGTGCTTTGGACCGAATCCGAGAGAGACAAAAGAAACTTCAGGTTCTGAGGGAAGCCATGAATGTAGAAGGTTAGTAATTCTGTGCATGTTTGAGAAAGAATTGAAGTATTTTAAATATTTTTTTGAAATAAAGAAGGGTTATTAAATTATTCCACAAGTCTTATTTTCACTGCCAAATTTTTGTACCCTGGTTAGTCTCTTACTTCTCTGTCAATTTCTGTTCTCCCTTCCATCAAAACCCTAATTGAAATACTCTGCTTCCACAAAGTCATCCCTAATAAAAATGCCCAGTCACGTTATAGTCTCTCGATATTTGGGATAGTATATTTTTAGATTGTAAGCTTCTCAAAGGCAGGAGGCATATTTTCTACTTCTTTTTGCTTAAATTCTCCACCATACCGTCTACCATGCACTATCTCATGGGAGGCTTCAGTAAATAACTGGTTTGTGGAAATAAAAAGCAGTTCATCAAAATCAGCAATGCCGGAGAAGCAGAATAGCATGGTTATGGTGCATTGCTTCTCAAACCACCAGCTTCAAATTACAAATTTTGGGGGCACAACTGTAGAAGATTATAATTTACTTTGTCTGGAATAAAGTTTTGAATCCATACCTTTTGAATCATAGTACATTTTAGGTTTACAGAGTCAGCCTAGGTTTGAATTAGTTCCTCCATTAGTAACTATGTGGTCTTTACTTGGGCTTCATCTCTCCAAGTCTAAATTACTCCATCTATAAAATGGGCTTCTCAAAGTAGGTTAATTAGGTAATGAATGTAAAGTGATTAATATTACATTATTAGTGTGAGTAATATAAAAATAACTTTATAAATGGTAATTTCTTATTCTAGAGAAAAACTGTTTCAAAAATACTTGATTTCACACACAAAACTCAATATGTTGATTGGAGTAAAATTATGTCCAAGACATATGGATAGAGGCTATTTTCAGTATAAATAGATGTGACATATAGAGGCTATTTTTAGTATGAATAGAAGCAAGAGAAAAGAAGAGATAATTTTTAATCTAATTCTGTACATTTTTTAAGATTCAAGTTTTATACTGCCCTTGCTTCCTAGACAAATCCTAGGACATAGCTGATTAAAGACGACTTTAAGATCTTTCTAGTTCAAAGAAAAGAATGACATAATTAAGGATCATATTTATTTTTAAGATCGTTATTCTAGTGTAATATTTTTTATTAATATATTTCCTTTAAAGTATTCTAAAGATCTGTTGTCCTGTTACTTAAGTTTCAGGCATAGCTCTGGAGCTGAACAACATAATTTATGAGTTTTGCTGTACTTTGAGTAAAAGAAGCTTTGCATTGTTTTTTCAATTTCAGGAATTGAAAATTAGTAAAGAATTTGAAATTATGGAGGAAATTATTGAATAGTTAATTGATATGGGTTCCGATATAACATGAATTTTTCAAAAACATTAGCCAACTTTATGAGATGGTTGTATATAACCTTGATCGAATACTTTCAAAGATAGGAAGTAAAAATTTAGAAATTTATATTATACACAACTTCACAACTTTTGGAATTGTGATAGCAGAGAGATTAGGCACTTTCTATGGTTTAAAAGAAAAGTCTCCTTTTTTATGTTGTACAACAGCTAGTATATGAACATTAATTTAGTCTGACCTTCTGTCAAGCATGCCCTCATGGAAACAATTATATAAAGAAATCTTGTCCATTGTGAAAAAAAAAAAACCTTCAATGATTCAAATAGATAAAACCATTATAGTTTTGAAATAGAAATAATGAAGATATGTACCAATCTATATGAGTATTTAAAAGGCTGAATGGTATCTTTTTTTTATTGTGAATGTTAAAAATGAAATTATAGGCCAGGCATGGTGGGTCACACCTGTAATCCTAGCACTTTTGGAGGTCAAGGTGGGAGAATTGCTTGAAGTCAGAAGTTCAAGACCAGTCTGGGCAATATAGCAAGACCTCATATCTACAAAAAAAATTTTTTAATTATCCAAGTGTGGTGGTGCACACCTGTAGTTCCAGCTACTCAGGAGGCTGAGGTGGGAGGATCACTTGAGCTGAGAAGTTTGAAGCTGCAGTGATCTGTCATCAAGCCACTGCACTCTAGACTGTGCAACAAAGCGAGACTCTGTCTCTAATGATAGTAATAATAAAATTGGCCAGGCGTGGTGGCTCATGCCTGTAATCCTGGCACTATGGCAGGCTGAGACGAGCAGATCACCTGAGGTCGGGAGTTCGAGACCAGCCTCACCAACATGGAGAAACCCCGTCTTTACTGAAAAAAAAATACAAAAATTAGCCAGGCATGGTGGTGCATGCCTGTAATCCCAGCTACTTGGGAGGCTGAGGCTGAGGCAGGAGAATCAAGTGAACCCAGGAGGTGGAGGTTGCAGTGAACCGAGATCGCGCCATTGCACCCCAGCCTAGGCAACAAGAGCGAAACTCCGTCTCAAATAATAATCATTATAATTTCTAATGTTTTTATGTGTGATCTAAGTTTCAAAACATTACTTGTCTTGATATTTGGTAAATTAGTAGTAATGTGAATTAGCAAAGCTTGAGATTTTTTTTTTATACTTGAACCTTGGTTTGAGAGTTAAACAGGAAAAACATCAAACATTAATGGAAACGTATTTAATCTGTTAAATTATACCATAATAGTCTATTTAATATATTTCGTTTGTTTTTCATTACCAATAACAAAATATATTAGACTATTGTAGCATATGATTCTATTATCTTCTCAGTTAATGTGTATGCACATGTGTATAAGTGTTAAGGAAACTCAGACCATCTTATTTCTACATATGCTTTTATATCTGCAAAGATGATACATAATTCTTGTAGAGCCTTATTTGTTCAAAAGGTAATTACGTATTTGATACATCATTTCCAGATTTAGAAATTTCGTATTTGTTATAGGATGCACAAACAAAAGAAAAGCTTTTTAAAAAAAAATCTGCTTTCAATTGTTCGATATAGGACAATCTTGAAATCTTTTTAACTAGGGTTTTCAAAAGCATTTGCTCTCATGAAGAACCTACCCATTATTCCCCCAGAGGATATTTTACAACCCAGTTAAACAAACACCTAAAAATGTTGGATTATTATGGAAATACACTACCTTAAACCTCCATTATTATATAGTAACTTGAAAGCAGCAATAAATTATGTTTGCTTTAGACTACAGGCATTAATCAAAAGGAATGTTAGAAGTTTAGAATTCAAAAGCACTAATTCTTACTAGTTATTTAGTTGAGTAACTTGCTGGTCTTATGCTGTGCTTTTTCTAAAGGTGAGGTAATTTATGTTGCAAACAAGGCTGGGCGCGGTGGCTGATGCCTGTAATCCCAGCACTTTGGGAGGCCAGGGCGGGCAGATCACGAGGTCAGGAGATCAAGACCATCCTGGCTAACACGGTGAAACCCCATCTCTACTAAAAATACAAAAATTAGCCTGGTGTGGTGGTACATGCCTGTAGTCCCAGCTATTCAGGAGGCTGAGGCAGGAGAATCACTTGAACCTATGAGGCAGAGGTTGCAGTGAGCCAAGATCGTGCCATTGCACTGCAGCCTGGGTGACAGAGCAAGACTCCGTCTCAAAAAAAAAAAAAAAGACATGCGCAAACAAACGTGCAGCTTGTTAATATGAAGATTTTAGCTACTATACAAAGAAAAAAGAATAGAAAATCATGTAAATCCCATTTTTCTCATTTAATTCTAGTGAGAGACAGGCTTCACAGATCCCTTTTATGTGTGATAAATCAAGCAGAACTGTAAATATCAATGTATACATTTTATTGTACACATTTCTTTCTTAAACTATTTGTGTTTTAAAAGTTTTAAAAAGAAATGTTTTGTACAATTTTTGTGATCTTTAAATTTGGCAGCTGCTAATGGGTTTCAGTAATTATAGAATTAGAAGAGGTCTTAGAGCACATGTTATCGAAACATATTCTTGGGCTTGTAAAGATTTAATAACATACCTAAGATCACATAATGAGTTAAAGATAGAGTTTTATTATTTTGGAGATTGTAGATTTTCATCATGGATTTTCAGAATATCAGTCTAAGGATTTCCCACTACATGTGACTTAAAAAAAAAAAAGGATGTATTCTCACATTCCTTGAGCTGATATAATAATTGGAAGAAACAAAATTGCTAAATTTTAATTTGTTCTTTGGGTGTTCTAGGAGGGTTATTGAGTTAATAAACAGTTTTCTCCTCCAACCTCTGATAATATAGCTTTTTCCTTAACCCAGGCCCCATTCTCTTGAAAGGATCCTTTACCTAAATAATCTCCTCAGCATTTCCCCAGCTAACAACATCAACTAGCTAACTAGCATAAGGGACACAAGACCTTCAAATCATGGAATTTGGAAGTGGAAGGAATCTGGATACCATTTAAACCAAACATCTCATTTTCAGAGGTCCAGAGAAGTAGACTAGTTTGCCAAAGGAGATACATAATTCATAATTCATAACAGAGCCATATTTTGAATCCCAGTCTCTAGAGCCCAATTATAAGATTCTTCCACTCTGCTGTCCTGATTTAAAGAAGAGACCAGATACATGTCAGATACATGGTTGAAAAGATGTTGTTACTGCCTGGGACATTGGACATTCAACTAACTGCCTTCCAAGTCCCTTAAGTCTCTCCTTAAAAAAATTATATAATTTTTAATACAGTGAAACAAGATAGTATTAGGAAAGGCTAAAATGAGGCACTTTTGGTTTTTTCTGTATTAAACCATAAGGTGCAGGGGTTAAGGTGGAACTCCATTATGTTATCTATTGTGGTAGATAGTATTTTGGTGGGGTTCTACTATGGTCGAATCTTTAAGGCAGCTAATCCTATGACTGACCAGATAGGCCATAAATTATCAAAAAGCAGTGATTGGCATTGAGTGGTCTGATTTCTTTGGGAACAAAATGAGATAGGAACAAAAAAGATCTCAAGAAAGAAATTGTAGTTGAAATTGAAAAATTATAAATAGAAGATTATTACTGCGATTATTAAGTTAACTTTTCAGATAGTTCTCTACATACGTAAAGCAGTAGGGAAGGGGCAGGAAGAAACATAACTTAGGTTTCTCTTGTAGAAACTAGTTTTAAAATTTGATGTTGCCCTTTTTTGCTTCATTCTTTTAATTCTACTTTTTTTTCACCTCAGCACAGGACTATCTAATTCTCCTCTTTTTTCTCAGTATTTTATTTTCTACCTCTTCAACTCCATCCCAAGATCTGAGTAGTTGTCTGTTTTCTAATAGGAGTATCTGACAAATGTCTCTTTCTGTCTTTCTTGTAATGTGATTACCATACACGCCCTATCCATTGCTCTGTGGGTTGGCAGTAGATTCCTGATTATGAGAGATTGACTTGGAACCAGTACTGTGAGTACAGAGTGAGCAGTACTCCCACACCCTGGGTGGGGATCATTAATAGCATTTGGCTTCCAACAGTTGCAACTCCTCTGCATTCTGCACAATACTAGAAAGGAAAGTATGAAGAACAGATACAACTAATTTCTACAAAAGTGGCTATAGTTAAGTGTTATTTGTTTAATGGGCTGTTAATCAACCTAGTTCACATCAAAATGAAATATTGTTTTCTTCCTTCTAGTAGTGTGATCTCTGGTCCTAGCCTAGTTTTGCTATCCTGTGACTGCCCTGTGAACACAGCTTAGACTCTATGTTGTGCAACTAGAATATGTAAACACTCAAGTATGGGAACCCATTCTCATTTGAGGAACCTTAATGTTTCATTTGAGAAGATTGAATTTAAAAGTTTACATTCTTACAGTTACGCTTAAGAAAAGCAAAGGGATGAATTTATAAGTGTGTGAGTTCATGTTCAAGTATTATGTGTGGTACTTTTAGTATCTTAATAATTTTATGGAGATATATATATTTTTTCAAAACATCTTTTTTAAATTCTAAAACTAGTATTTCTTTACTTCCCTTTGAATAGCAAGAAAAAAATGATTGAGTTATTATTTAAGTTACTCCGTGAGCTAAAATAAATAATTTTAATATTAAATTTCTATTTGATTTATATCAGTTCCACAAAAGTAAATGAGAATAAGCAGGGATTTTCTGTAATATTGGTCAAATACCACATGTATTTCAGGCATTAATGACTTAATTACTAGATTAAGAAATCTTAAGTATTAGATTATAAATGAGATGCAAATATATTTTGTTTCTCTGAATTATAATGTAGATAGAATCAACATCTTAGAAAGGAAAGAAGTGTCTACTGTGTTTCCATGGCTGGATTTTAAAGAGATTTGTAATTTAGACCAGTATTGTCCAACAGAATTTCTTCAATGGAGGAAATAGTCTATATCTGCACAGTCCAACTCAGTAGCTACTAGCTACATGTGACTATGGAGCACTTGCAATGTAGGTAGTGCAACTGAGGAACTGAATATTTTATTTAAACTTACATAGTTACATGTGGCTAGTAGTCACCATATTGGACAGTGCAGCTTTAGACTATTCCCATATGATATTAGGTCAGTATAAAATACCAACACTCAGTTGAGGAAAGAGTGGCTTTAGAACCATTTGGGAGATGGTGAGCAATAAATCGTTATTTAGTTTAAGTAAGAATACAACTGAGAATGTATATTTACTTCTCTTCTTTCGGTTTATCCAAGTGGAAAAATAAAATTACATTTTTAAATACTAGGGAAAATTAAAGGTCAAACCAATACAGACTTTCCAGTGTCTGTACTCATGATAACGTGAGATCAGAGTTCACAGAAATAATATGTTCCTTTATTGGAAATGAGAGACCTAATTTAAATCTACTCATAGCATGGTTCACATAGACCCAGTTTGGCTTTGACATAGCCACTCTCTAAGGACGGATTGATATGTCTTAAGAAAGATCGAAAATGGATCTTACTAACAATAGGTATCATCACATTTTTTAAGACCCAGCAATTTTAAACTTAAGTGTTTCCTTATTTCATCCCAGTCCCCTTGTCTCTCCATTTGTCTCTCTGCCGTGCAAGTTTGAATACCTTTATTCTCTGCTATCAGCCATTTACCAATGTTCCATCACCTGAACAGGATAAAATTCTAGCTCCTTGGATCATCATACTTAAGGTTCCCCATGATTATATCTCTCCTCTCATCTTTTAGCATTTCCCATATCACACCTCATACTATCATTCTCTCCCTTTCTCCCTGTCTCCCTCCCTCCCTTTTTCTTTCTCTCCTCCCCACTCCCTTCTTTCTTACTCTCTTACACACTTTTCCTCCCTCCTTGCCTCCCCAGCTCTGAATTTGTGTGTATGTAGAGAAAAAGAAATACATACACACACACATACACACACACACACACAAACACACACTTGTGTGGATGGATGCGTGGATAGATAGATGATTGATTGATAGATCTACCTGCCTACTTACCTATCTACCTATTTATAGGCCATTTTATATTTCCTTGCCTTTATTCACACAGCAATCTGCCTTAAGATTCAAAGCTTTCGGACACTGATGTTTCAGGAATCTTTCTCTCACCTCCCCAGTTTAGGATGATGATGGGCTGTTTTTCATTGAAATTATTGCTTTTCAGGAGCTTGTCTTTCCTCGTACAGACCTCAAAAATTTGGCCTTATCTAATTCATAGCTGTATCCTTAGCATCTGCCACTATACCTGACATATAATAGGTACTCAGTAAGTGTTTGTTAATATAAATGGAGTATTACAATGTGGCTATTAAAGAATTTTAATATATGCAGTGGTGCTATTTCAGATAATGGGTTACAACAATATTCTCTGGCAAGTTATAGTGAGGACAAATCACACCTCCTCTTCCTCCGTTTTGTCCAACTCATAAGAGTAAACTCACATACTTTTCACATATAACCTGAACAACCAACAGAGAATGTAATTCATTTCCTATTGAACTCTGTACTCTTTGAAAGTTTTGAAAAAGACAGTGAAGTCGTAACAACAGTGAATCCTTGAAGATTCTGAAAGAGTGATACAGTGAGCCTAGCCGATGTCACAGCCCAGCTATGTGGCTACTATATCACACAAGACCCCCATAGAAGGAGGTGGAAACTGTTCATTCTTTTTGATATCCCTACTCTGCATATATTTTAGATCTATAGAGTGACTAACAGTTTGTTTACAGAGCACTTCTTCATATATCCTTCTTTACTTACATACATTCACTCTTGTATGAGCTTTGTTCACCCAGGTTAAAAATTTTATTCATTATGTCTAGCTCTCAAGGGATTTTAGAACATATTCTATTGATTGCAATGTGGTGTAATATGGAATACAGTAGACTAATAAACACAAAAGGTACAGTCGCTAATCTCCCAAAATTATTCTCCCATAAAGGAAGCATAGAAAAGAACACTTAATATATGAATACATAATATTATTACTGTGTTTCTCTGCTTTGTTTGAAAATTGAAATATTTTGTTAGGACCCATATCTTTAAAAATGTGAGATTTTAAAAATGTTTTATACTTCTGCACTACAAAAGCAGTCATTTTATTTCTCTTCGAAACTTGTGTCTGTAATTTGGGTCATGTATTAAAGGTAAAGAAATGTCAAGGTAAAAGTGGTTATTTAATTCTTGTTGCAATTGGCTGAGTCTCACTTTCTGCATATTACTTGTCTGAGCTTGAATATGTGTCACTTGTAAATGGTGTTTCTAGATTACAATTTGTGTTGGCTTAGATTCATCTTAATGTGAAAATTGTAGACTTTAATGTTTCATTTGAAATAGCTTTATATAAGGCCAGAATATTATGCAAATCTTCATAATCCAAGTCTGATCTCCTAAACATTTAAAGTATAGTGTACATGGTCACATGCCACAACTTTATATGGTAAAAGTGCTAATTGTGTTAAGTGGTGGTAGAAATTGAGACTTTCAGTTGTCAAGAACTTATGGCAAAACACACTTGCCTATTGAAAAATGGCTTTTCATTGTTGCTGTATAAATGGCATCAATATAATAGAGTCACTGTGAATTTTGTTCAGAGGATAAGATTACAGATAAAAGCTAATAAAATATTTGTTAAGTTTTTATACCTCATTCTGACAAAAAATAGTATACTCTTAATTATGGTAAAATAGTACTAGAGATGAAAGGACATCTTCTAATGATTATAGAATCTGTATAACTAGACTTCTGTCCAAATCTTAATTCTTTGTTTTTTGGTTTTTTTTTGAGAGAGGGTCTCGCTCTGTCTCCTAGGCTAGGTGCAGTGGCATCGTCTTAGCTTACTGCAACCTCTGCCTCCTGGGCTCAAGCAATTCTCTCGCCTCAGCCTCTCAAGTATCTAGGACTACAAGCATGTGCCACCACACCTGGTTAATTATTGCCTTTTTTTTTTTTTTTTTTTGGAGAGATGGGGTTTCACCATGTTGCTTTGAGTCTTAAGGCAGATTGCTGTCTGAATAAAGGCAAGGAAATATAAAATGGCCTATAAATAGGTAGGTAGGTAAGCAGGCTGGTCTCAAACTCCTGGGCTCGATCAATCCACCTGCCTCAGCCTCCCAAAGTGCTGGGATTACAGACGTAACCCAACATGATGGCCCAAATCTTAATTCTTTAAGCCATTCTTCATTAGTCCTTATTGTTTTCATTCTTTCATGACTATTCTACAAAATGGTTTTGGAGAGAATATATTGATATAAGTTTTATGTGTTTATGTACATTTATTTACACACACCCTATATGGTACTTCTTTTTTGGTGACATCACATTTGGTGATGTACTAAGGCTGATTTTACTCTCCCATTCGCTCTTTTCTTCTCATTAATATTTCTAACACTGTGATTTTTTGCTGAAACTTCATTTTCTGTAACTGAAAACTAAAGTACTCATAGGAAGTCAAAAAGAAGGAAATTGTCTAGTAAAATAAGGAATAATTATGATTCTAAATGGACCCTAGTACACTAATTTTTACATTGTAGGCTTCACTTAGATATTTACTAGCTGAGAAAAGAAATTTGCAAACCAACAAATTAGATATTGAGAACTAATTTTCAGCCCCACAAAAGGCAAATAAATTCAGTCTGACACCTGTAATGGTGAAAGCTTAAAATTTTACCATTACAGTTATAACATTGCAATGAAGGTGGCTACACATGCATTTAATGTGTATTGGTTATCCTAATAGGTCCATTGCACATGATTCAAGAATTTTGGCATTCAGAAAACTTTGTAATATTCTGTAAGTATGTAGAAGCATCTTTTTGGTTTAAAAAAATAGTCTGATACATTCTAGTTAAAATACCAGCCAGGTTTTGTTGGTACTGGGAAATGGGTACATGAAGATTCATTATACTCTTTATTTTTGTGTCTGTTTGAAGTTTCCATAATAAACAGTTTTTTGAAAATCACCCGATTAATACCACATTCCTGGGATCTGTATCAAATCTAAAGTGCTGGAATTATACACTCAAAAATAGAAAACATGTTTGTGTGTCTGAATCCTCTAAAAAGAAAAATAGTTAGTAATGTTAGCATACCTCATTGACAATTAGATATTACCTCTCTTCAACAGACCAGAACAGAGGAAGAAAACCACTTCTATCTGGTTAGTGCCTACTAGATACCTTTATGTGCAGGTCATCTCAGAGAACCAAGAAATGTTTCTGCTCAGATGACTTGTAAACATGGAAAATGTGCCTCTCCATATATACCACTGCAAGATTCTCTTGGTAAAGAACATGTAATTTTATAACAACACCTGAAAACGTTAAATTTATTATTCATAAATTTTCCAAGACACACTTCAGAACACAAGAAGCTCACAAAAAAGATTCTTACTACTTCAGTTAACATAGATACACCCACCCCTACCCCAGTATTTGAAGAAAAAGAAAAAAGTCTTTCTACCCCTGGTAGGCAAAGCAAGTTATCCCATTTGTGTTTTGGAGTACCAGTGCTCTATTACTATAAAGCAGTAAAGTATCATAAGGTAATAACCTCCTCCCCGAAGGTGTATTACTGAAAACATTTACAGACCAATAGTTCATGAAGAGAAAATGATTTATTATGTTTTTAAGAGTGGTTAGTCAAAGTTGCATTTGTTTGTTTTACAGAAGGAACCCAGAGATTGAAAAAAGTTTATTAGTAGTGTCAGAATGAACTGAAGAAAAAAGAAAATAAAACATAGGGTAGTAGTAAGGGTGAGGAAATATGGATATGTGAAACAATATAAGAACAATTATAAAGTACCACCAAAGAATGGAAATTCAGATTAAAATTTATTTATGATCTTACAGCCACTTTGCAAAAATAGCTGTGAAACAGTAAATTCATTTATTACTTAATATGGGGTGTGAAATTGTAACAAGGCATAACATCCAAGTGACTAAAAGTTCTTTACTCATTTTATTGAACAGGTTTATTGTGACTTCTACTTTTCTCTGTAAGGTATTAAAACCATACTGCCTGTTTAGATTTGGTTCTTATCCATGGCCTTATTGGTCTTATTGTCCTGTATGTTGCAATTCCGGGTTTGCAATTTGGTTAAGTTTTTTTGGAAAAGTCCCTTAAAAATTTAGCATGAGGATTCTGTAACAATAAAACAAATGTACTTTGGTGTTCCTTGAAAATGGCAGTTCCTCTTAAGTAAAAATATAACTTGCATATAATGTACTGTATTCATTCAATTTAAATTAGTATTAAATAAAATTATTGTTTTCCATCTCTACAGTCCATTCAAATTACATTCATAATGAGCCAGAGGATTATTTTAAATTGTTTATTTTATCATAAGACTTTCCTGTGGTAGGATGCAATCATTTAGAAAAAAAAAAGTACTGGTAAATACCTTGATTTTTCAATTCTAAAACTCAATGGTAGTATTATTGATATTTCTGTTCACCATACACAAAGCCAGACAAAGTCAAGTATGCAATATTATTCCTAGTTCTCCAAGTAAACATTATCCTAGAAACAGTGCAGAACTTTCTGTCCATGGAGTCTGTGGCCAGTCATCTATACTTCTTCTCGCATTTATTTAAAGCTTTGTCTCAATGTGACTCTTATCCTTTCTTGGGGCGTGAACTCTCAATTTCCAGTTCATCATCCCTATTCTGGTTCCACAAACCTGGTTTCTATGGTACCATTTAACTATTTCACTTATTATTCTTTTTCTGTTAAGAATCTCTATTAAACACCTTCCAACATAAGGAATAATTCATCATGTGAATGAAGACTGTCCTCAGGTTTGCAGACTAGCAAAAAAGAATTCCTCACCCACCTTGATTCTCTACTGCCGTGCACTTCGTGTCACTCCCCAGTTTTAGATACTTCCCAGGGTCTCCTTTCTTCAGTGTCAAAAAAAAAAAAAAAAGACACAAGAAAATTCTAATTGGTTCCACTAAAATTTAGGTATTCTAGCCTACCCTACATCTTCATGGCTACATGAAAGCTTTCATGTACTTTTTGCTGACTTTTATCAACATTGTTCATGTCAGAATTTCTTTAATCTTCTCAAGCCTTAGCCAAACAGGCTCCCAAGAGGTGATTGACTTTTTATTTCCAGGCAACATTATGATATGAATATCTTGGGATTGCCTCTGTATTTTCACCTTTTCCCTTGTCTGTTAGTTACCTCTTTTAAGAAGGTACGATTTTTCCTCCTTGCCAGTCTACTCGTCCCACATGTGTTCTTTTTTCCATCTCCTGTTTCCTTCAAAACATTTTTTTTAATCAGTTTTTCCCACTACCATTTGCAACTTCAGTCTCTCCCACTCAACGGGCTTATTATCCACCACCTGAAATCAAGCACAGACATTCTTCTGTGGGGGGGAAAATCTATTTTTTTAACCTCTTTTTGCTTCCCAAATCCTCAAAATTCTTGAAAGAATACTGGATACTCATTCTCTCAAATTCTTACCATCTAGTCCTTCTTTAACCCTCTCTGATTTGGCCTCTGACCTGTTCATGCAATGAAAATAGTTGTCTTAAAGGTCACCAATGACCTTTATATACCACTTATATACATTTATTCACTCAGAAAATATTCATTTTGTGCTTGCTATGTACCAGGTACTTGCTAGACTAGGTACTAGAAGTACATCTAAAAAAGACAACATTCTTTTTCTCAGAGAACTTATAATTTAGTTGAGGAAACAAACAAGTAGAGAACTACAAAGTAGTGTAAGAGTTGCAATTAAGCATGAGGCAACGTGAAAGTAAGAGGAGCAATGTCTAACTCAGCCTTTATGTGGTCATAGAAGCTTTTAGATAGAGGCTTCCTTTAAAGGTTAAGGAAAAAAAAGATATTCAGGTAAAGAAGAAGGGGAAGAGCGGTGTTTCTAACAGAAGGTATCCTTCAGAAAGGAAGCTAAAAGTTAATATGCTTTTGATTATCTGCAAATTTAGTAACACAGGTACAGAATTCGTTTAGGGAAGTGGATGGAGATAAGGCTTTTACCTGAATTGAGTTTTTAAATTTATATTTAAATTGTTGTGTTTGTGTGTATGTGTGTGTGTATATACGTGTGTGTGTATATATGTGTATATATAGGAGATGGAAAAAATATATGTGTGAGTATGTGTTCCCACTCCTCAAAACTTTGATTATATATATGTATGTGTGTCTTTTATATATTGTGTGTATGTGTACATATATATACTTTTTGCCCAATTCTCACAAATGAATCTGTGACTTCAAAATATAAAGAGACACTGCTATAAATGTAGTTGGGAGCCAGGCGTGGTGGCACATGCTTCTAGTCCCAGCTACTTGGGAGGCTGAGACGAGAAGATAGCTTGAACCCAGGAGTCCAGCACTGCGGTAAGCTATGACTGCACCACTGCACTCCAGCCTAGGCAACAGAATGAGACCCTGTCTCTAAAAAATAAAATAAATCTAGTTGAGGACCAGCTTATAAAAGGCTTTGAATACCAAGCTAAGAAGTTTTTTTAAACTGTATGTTGAAGACTCTAGTTTCAAGGATTTTAAGAAATATAATAGCTCAGATTTTCATTTCTGGGAAGTTAACTTTCTATAATGTGAATTATGTAAAGGAGCAAAACTGCAGAAAGGGGATTTAGGAGACAGGTAGTAGTTCAGGAGTGACATGAATAGTGCTCAGTGATAGAAACAATGCAGCTGAAGAAGAGGGGATGGTTCAGAAATACTTAGAAGGTAGGATTTAGATTCTAGTCCACACTTGCCCCTGGGCTCGGCCCTCTTGTACAGTGCACACTCTGCACAAACCTACACAGTACCCCCTTCCAAATGCTTATCTTATTCTGGTGGAACTAAGCATTCTGTGTCAATATTGGGGTACTTGTCTTCCACATTTCAAATTCTTTGAGATTGTTGTGTCTTTAGATTGTCTATTCCTTATAGAATCTAACAGAGAATTACACATAGTAAACATTGAAAAACTGTGATAATGATGCTTACATAGTGTGTGCTCTGAAAGCTTCGTGTATGTTAATTCATTTAATTCTCACAACCTTATGCGATGTGCACTATTATTATACCCCCTCTTTGGCTGAATTAAAAGAAGAGTCATGGGGAGATTAAATTACTTTCCTAAGGTCACACACTAGAAAGTGGTGGAACTGATTCAAACTGAGGCAGTCTGGCTCCAGAGTCCGTGCTCATAACCAGTATACTAAACCCATTATTGGAACGCATTATTTGAATACACTCCAGCAATTGGTAAATTTAAAGCAATGTATAAAATGTTTTAGTCCCACAGGATTAAAATTAATATTTTGATTTATGTGGAATAGCTAATGAGTTTGCTTTCTAATCTTTTTGTTTTAATCCTTTTAGAACCAGTTCGAAGATACAAAACTTATCATGGTGATGTCTTTAGTACCTCCAGTGAAAGTCCATCTATTATTTCCTCTGAATCAGATTTCAGACAAGGTAGGAGGCATCTGAAACAAGCAAACTGTTTTTAAGAAACCACGATTATTATTATTTTCAATAGTGTTCAAATATTAATATAAATTGCCAGAAAGAATAATACTGTATAAAATTGAAAAATTTAAAAAAGCTGCTGGTTACTCAGTAGTAGTATTATAGAAACTAAATAGCAGTTTCTTCAAATAACGATGTAGTCCTTTTCATTACAGAGATAATAATTCATTGTCTTTAAAAGTAACATGATTTACCTCAAAAGAGTTTAATAACATTATGTCATTAATTTTGTTCTGTGGATTAGATTTGTACAACTCTATGTCTGCTAAGTGTTTGAGTTTTAAATGAAATTACTCTCATGTTTCTATCACCTGTGCCATTATTTCTTTTTCATTCATAATTAGTGAGAAGAAGTGAAGCCTCAAAGAGGTTTGAATCCAGCAGTGGTCTCCCAGGGGTAGATGAAACCTTAAGTCAAGGCCAGTCACAGAGACCGAGGTATGTCATGAAAAAGTAGTGATGATACATTTCCAGTGACCAGTGTTTGTTTTTTATTTGAATTAAATGGAATTTTTTTTTTTTTTTTTGAGACGGAGTCTTGCTCTGTTGCCTAAGCTGGAGTGCAGTGGCGCAATCTCGGCTCACTGCAACCTCCTTCTCCCAGGTTCACGCAATTCTTTTGCCTCAGTCTCCCGAGTAGCTGGGATTACAGGTATGCACCAATGTGCCTGGCTAATTTTTGAATTTTTAGTAGAGATGGGGTTTCACCATATTGGCCAGGCTGGTCTCGAACTCCTGACCTCAAGTGATCCACCCGCCTCAGCCTCCCAAAGTCCTGGGATTACAGGTGTGAATCAAGTAGAATTTGTTTTTTTACTATCCTTTTTCCTTTATTTTTTGCATTTTCCTTTTCTCTTCCTTTCCCCTAGCTCTCTTTGTTTTTATAAAAGTTCTCAGAAATTCATCAATTATATGAAAGACAAAGTATTGGAATCTTTTAAAATCATGATTGGCTCTAATTATTTATAGTTGTGCTTGATTTTTAAAATTATCAATATGAATATAAAATAACAGGAAGGTCAAGGCATGGGATTAAAAATCTGTGAGAAGATAGGAAACCTTGATTTCTAAGATACCTTTCTTGAAAGGTTGGAATAGTCTCAGCCAGCAAGCTTTCAGTGAGTATTTATTTGTTGAATGAATAGTGAGTAGGTTACTACTAAGTAACCTATTATGTAAAAGGTTAATTATTCACTGTATCTTTCCTGGCTTAAAAGAGGTTATGTGGTACTTTTTTTTAAAGCCTGATTTAGGCTATTTAGAGTTCATTTTTATACTGACATACTTAGTGAATTTCTTATAAGGTGTTAGTATTATGTTTGTGCTCAGCTTAGGATGGTGGTATTATAGCTGTGTGTTGATTTATGTTGTTTAAACTGAAAGGTGTCAAGTCAATAGTGATGTGTGTCTTTGTCGTGTATGCCCAGGTCCCTTACATGAACAAAAGATGTAGTTAATGCTAAGCATTAATTTCAAATTTGTAATATATTAGAGAACAAGAGGTTGCTTGAGAATTTACTTCTAAAATGTGGGAATCCTTTCTAATTCTGTATTTCAGTTTGTTTAATTCAGATGCTACCAAATAGAAAAGAATCATTTAGAAATAAACAGAAACTTGCCCCTTAGCTAATTAATTCTGCCAGACACTGTTTCACACCTGTAAACTATTAATAGATCAGGTAACCCTAGCCATGTGATTAAAACAGACTATTCACAGTTTAGAGTGTACGTAATTAAATACTTTACACTAAAATTATTCTTTAGTTAATGGTCCACTTTTTTTTTTTTTGAGACAGAGTCTCGCTTTGCTGCCCAGACTGTAATGCAGTGGCGCTATCTCAGCTCACTGCAACCTCTGTCTCCCAGGTTCAAGCAGTTCTCCTGCCTCAGCCTCCCGAGTAGCTGGGATTGCAGGCACCTGCCACCATGCCCGGCTAAGTTTTGTATATTCAGTAGAGGTGGGGTTTCACCATTTTGGCCAGGCTGGTCTTGAACTCCTGACGTCAAGTTATCCACCCACCTCAGCCTCCCAAAGTGCTGGGATTACAGGTGGGAGCCACTGCACCTGGCCTAAAGGTCCACTTTTAATTAAAGTTGTTTCTTTTGTTTTTTGTACTTTTTAAAATAGTCTATAATTTTTTTCTTTGAGGAAAACTCCAGTAAGTATTCATTTACCTAAAGCAATCTATATTTGCATAATAGCATTTTATATTACTGTGTCCTTGTGATGACCCCATTTTGATACTTTTGAACAAAGAGGTAGGAGACAAAGATCTATGCTTTACGTTACAGTTTTCTTTTTATTTTTTAACATTTATTTTCGGTTTGGGGGTACATGTGAAGGTTTGTTATATAAACACGTGACAGGGGTTTGTATACATACTATTTTGTCAAGCAGGTATTAAGCCCAGTACACAACAGTTATCTTTTTTGTTCCTCTCCTTCCTCCCACTCTCCCCACTCAAGTAGACCCCAGTATCAGTTGTTTCCTTCTTTGTGTTCAGAAGTTCTTATCATTTAGCTCCCACTTACAAGTGAGAACATGTGGTATTTGGTTTTCTGTTCCTGCATTAGTTTGCTAAGGATAATAGCCTCCACCTCTATCCATGTTCCCACAAAAGACATGATCTCATTCTTTTTTATGGCTGTATAGTATTCCATTGTGTATATGTACCACATTTTCTTTATACAATCTGTCATTCTGAACATTTAGGTTGATTCCATTCTTTGCTATTGTAAATAGTGCTGCCGTGAACATTCGTGTGTATGTGTCTTTACGGTAGAGTGATTTATATTCCTATGGGTATATACCCAGTAATGGGATTGCTGGGTCTAATGGTAGTTCTGCTTTTAGCTCTTTGAGGAATCTCCATATCGTTTTCCACAATGATTGAACTAATTTGCTCTCCCAACAGTGTGTAAGTGTTCCCTTTTCTCTGCAACCTCGTCAGCATCTGTAATTTTTTTACTTTTTAATAATAGCCATTCTGACTGTTGTGAGATGGTATCTCATTGTGGTTCTGATTTGCATTTCTGTAATGATCAGTGATATGAAGCTTTTTTCAATGCTTGTAGGCTGCATGTATATCTTCTTTTAAGGGTGTCTTTCATGTGCTTTGCCCACTTTTTAATAGAGTTGTTTGTTTTTCTTTTGTAAATTTAAGTTCCCTGTAGATGCTGGGTATTAGACCTTTGTCAGATGCATAGTTTGCAAATATTTTATCCCATTTTGTAGGTTGTCTGTTTACTCTGTTTTTCTAATGAAGCAAAAGCATGTGGGGATGAACAACAAAAGTAAGCCAATATTGAATTGCACTAAGCTCAGTGTTGAATTGAGGGAGAATGTGTTTTAGAAGTGACTTTTCTCTATGCATCTAATTTGGAACCTATGAGTAGTTACTATTATGCCCACTTTAGCCAATTGAAAACTCTTGCTTTTAATATAAACAACTGAAATAGAGATAACACCTGAAGAAGCACTGGGATATGTGTTAACAATTGATTTACAGCCCATTTGGTTTGGATTTTTAAATTTTAAAACATATTCAAGCGAAATTAAATCATTTTGGGAGCCTTATGTTAATTTTCTTGATAAGGAACCTCAAAAATGTCAAGGTTATGAGAGAATCCTAATTTTGATTGTTTCCAGATTTTATTCAAGGAAACATTAAGGCCGCCATATTTGTCAAATCTATGTTTAAGGGGTAAACTGTCTTTTTTTTCATACTTCATGGGGAGAAAAAGCCCATGTGGTATTCATAGCATCTGAGTTAGATATAGGTTTAGGTGAAAGAAAAATATTTCAGGAAGTAGATTGTTAGTTGTATGTATGTATTATCTAATGTTAAGTTGCTAAACTCTATTTCTTTTAACTAGTTCCATCTTTTTTCTGCCCACTTAAATACATATTAGCTTAAAATACTGTCCAAATTCCTATTCACTTGCAGAACACACTCTGATAATATCCCTAACATGCTGGTACGTAATCAGGAGTCTTGTTTTCTTCTTTAGGTCACACATTTGTAAAATCTATGAATAGTGCTGTATTTGTACATATTGCATGCTTCTTGACAAAAGTTTCTATTCCCTTTAGCTAGAATAAAATGGCAAAACAGATCCAGAGAGTGCTATTGATTTGTACCATAGTGGGATGGGGGGAGATTAACAGGAAATTATGAGTCAGATGCAGCAGAATGAGTAATTTTTTTATACTGAGCTATCAAAAGCGTCTTTCAGTGACCAAAAAGGGCATTCAAAGTAGTTTCCAAAGAGAATTTCTAAGCCTTTTTATGTACTAGCTTTTGAAGTAAGTTTATACGTAGTACATTCCCACTGCTTCTGTGCCTCTCTGCTTGTTGAGGTAACCTTTGTTTCTGACTCCAAACAGAGTTGTTTTTGTTTTTGATTTTTGTCTCAAACTTTGCAGTTTTTATAGAAGTTTTGGTTAGATATCATATTTGGAGAGATAACAATGATAATTATTTTGCTACCTTTTAGTAGCTCTGCTGTAAAATAATTTTAGCTAAAAGACTGTAATATTTTATGAAAATAACAGGTTTGAGTTTAAATGTGCAGATTCAAGGTCTTATTATTATCTTTGACCCTCCCCTTAAGTGAGAGAGGGCCATAAAATTACATTCAGTTATTGACTTTACAGGTAATCATTGAGCACCTGCCATGTACTAGGTGCTTTCAGATACTGGAGATAGAGTTGTGAACAACACAGAAAGTCCCTTGAGGGAAATGAGAAGTAGCCAATAAACCATGAAAAAGCAAGTAAATAATATACTGCCATATAATGATGGTGCCTTGAAGAAAAATAAGGCTACTTAAGGGGATAGGGAGAACGGGGAGTAATGTCCAAATTCTGTTTTATATAGGTAGTATGATCAGTTTCATTACTAGAACAAGAGGCTCCTAACACCCAAGAGACTTCAAGGGTTTTAGGAGCTCTTTGTCAGGAACTGGGGACAAAGATCATATATGTATTTCCTTCCCTTCCCCTCTCCCTCTCCCCCGCTCCCTCCCCCTCTCCCTCCCCCTCCCCTTCCCCCTTCCCCCTTCCCCTCTTTTCTCCTTTCCTCTCCTCTCTTCTGTCACCCAGGATGGAGTGCAGTAATACCATCCCAGCTCACTGCAGCCTCAACCCCCTTACCCCCAGGCTCAATCAATTCTACACCTCAGCCTCCTGAGTAGCCAGGACTACAGGTGTGTGCCACCATGGCCAGCTAATTTGTTGTATTTTTTTGTAGAGACAGGGTTTCACCATGTTGCCCAGGCTGGTCTCGAACTCCTGGACTCAAGCGATCCAACCGCCTTCACCTCCCAAAGTGCTGGGATTGCAGGCATGAGCCACCATGCCCAGCCTATATATTTCTTCATACCATACTGTGTAATGTAAAGATTCTTCTGAGATGGGAAAATAAAATTTGTTTAAACTCTTGCAACCTTACTTAAAATGAAATTTGCTTGATTAGCCTTAAAACAATTGTTTTCCTCCCAATCCTCACCTGTCTCCTCTTTTCTATATAGCAGACAATATGAAACACCCTTTGAAGGCAACTTAATTAATCAAGAGATCATGCTAAAACGGCAAGAGGAAGAACTGATGCAGCTACAAGCCAAAATGGCCCTTAGACAGTCTCGGTTGAGCCTATATCCAGGAGACACAATCAAAGCGTCCATGCTTGACATCACCAGGGATCCGTTAAGAGAAATTGCCCTAGAAACAGCCATGACTCAAAGAAAACTGAGGGTAAGTTGATTCTCAGGTTACTACACATCTAAACCTGCTCTCACAGGGAACTCTTGGGCAAAGTACTTTTAAAAATTGCTACAGGTATCCATCTAAAGTTACCTGTAGATGAAACTGAAATCCCATATTCATTTCCACTGGGATTAAATATCTTTTTGGTTGATTTTAAAATAAACATTTAGCTATTTTCATTATTTTATCTAAAAAATAACTTAGATGAATTTAGAGTGTCCTAACTATATACTTTAAAAGTATATTCATAATCCTTAAAGTTAACTAGCTATCTTCATTATTGTGGGGGATTATTTTTTCATATTAAGAAATTTATTATTCCATATATTGAGAAGATCAGACATGGAAAGTTCAAGGTTAATTCCAAAGTTCAAGAATGTTATCAAGTGCATTTCATCTTGCTGCTCTGTGATTCTCAGAATTTTAGTAATAATTCACTTTCTGGTTAAAAGAGGACTCCATTAGCTCCAAACATCATATCCTCACATTTACAGTATCCAAAGACAGGAAGGACCAAGTCTGTATCTTGTATCTTGTGGGTGGATATTTTTATGTATCTGTTCTTCTAGTTGATGTATTTTTCTTTCAACCTATGACAATATATTTTTATAAACATAAAATCAAAATGAACAGTTCTTTTCTCATGTAAAATATCTTAAATGTTTTACAACTTCTACATTATTGTTAGTGTTATAAAATACTTTATTATGTGACTTTACTGTGTACTGTAATTTCTTTAGTCAGTTCCAATTACTGGACATTTTAAATGTTTCTAATTAGCTGTTGAAAGTAATGCTCTAAAGCAGGGCTCCACAGGCCAGCATTGGTCCATGGCCTGGTCACAGCAGGAGGTGAGCAAGGAGCTAGCATTGCCACCTGAGCTCCACCTCCTGTCAGATCAGCAGCAGCACTAGATTCTCACAGGAGCATGAACCCTGTTGTGAACTGCGTTGCATGTTCCTTATGAGAATCTAATGCCTGATGATCTGAGGTGGAACAGTTTCATCCCAAAACCATCCCCTCCTACCTGTCTGTGGAAAAATTTTCTTCCACGGAACCTGTCCCTGGTGCCAAAAAGATCGGGGACCGCTGCTTTAATTAACATCCCTGCAGCTAACTCATTGCAGATAACTTTCTCCAAGTAAAATAGTCAATTCAAAGGCAGACACCGTTTAAGACATTTGATACGTATTGTCAAATTACCCTCCCAAAAGTTTGTGCCAGTTTTTGCTTCCTATGATCGTGCCTGTTTCTTCATATTCTTATGTATTCTGGATATTATCATTCTTTTTTACTATCATCAGCTTGAAAGGTGAAGCAATATTTCATTTGTAACATTAGTTTAAAATAATTCTTAAAAAGCAAAATAAATAATAGTAAACCTGGTAAAATCTAGAATGATTTTTTTCTTTTTAGTTCTGCACTAAGAAATTGTATTACCCTATACTGTTTTCATTTTCTGTTCTTTGCTTCAGAGAATTATCTTAAAAGCACATTTGTATGCTCTGAAGATAATAGAATTCAAATTTCCTTCACAGTATTCTAAGGAGAAAAAGCTGTTGGTTGGTGAAAATTGCATTGAACTACAAATTGGAAGACATGTATTCTATTCCTTATGATGCTGTTATATGACTTTATGTAAATTTTAAAACCTCTTTATTCCTCATTGTGCTAATTTTTAAAATGTGGAATTGGATTGTAGTTTATAAAACACTATCCAATTTTTAAAGTTTTTAGATTCCAATAAAATATAACTGAACATATTTCAGGTAAAAGGAAGAAACTCAATAGGGCTTCATCAATTCATTATTACCAATATCTACATCAAAACTAAGTAATAGGCAGGATGTCATACAATATAGTGTGGACTTCCAATATAATAATTCAGTGAACAGCACAAACTGCACGTACATATACACCCCTTTTTCCTAAACCACAGTTTTAGAGAGCTAAGCTAGACTTTGGTTCATTCACAATTCATAAATTATAGATCGTACCTTTATAGCATGCCACTGTGATATGTCATCTCGCTAAAAACCTGTTTCCTTTTTTAGGCAGTCAATTTCTAGCTATTTCAAACCAAACATTTCTTTGCCAGAGATATTTTGTGTCAGTGATTAGATAATTTGAACTACTGGTCATTAAAAGACTACCTAGTATTTTTTCTGAAAAGAGCTGGAGGTTATATTTTTGAGGCTGAAAAGGGTAATGGGGTTTGGAGGTACAGTTTGAATTAATATTCTTTCCCACAGCATAAATGTTTAGGATTTTTTTTTCTTTTGGTGCAGACACATCTTAACTTCTTCATACCCTGTTTCCATAGTTGATCTTTATTATATTCTGTGTTTCCCATGGCAGACCACTTTCATTCTTTTTTTTTTATTATTATACTTTAAGTTCTAGGGTACATGTGCACAACATGCAGGTTTGTTATGTAGGTAGACATGTGCCATGTTGGTTTGCTGCACCCATCAACTCATCATTTACATTAGGTGTTTCTCCTAATGCTATCCCTCCCCCAGCCCCCCACCCCCCAACAGAACTTGGTGTGTGATGTTTCCCGCCCCGTGTCCATGTGTTCTCATTGTTCATTTCCCACCTATGAGTGAGAACATGTGGTGTTTGGTTTTCTGTCCTTGTGATAGTTTGCTTAGAATGATGGTTTCCAGCTTCATCCATGTCTGTGCAAAGGACATGAACTCATCCTGTTTTATGGCTGCATAGTATTCCATGGTGTATATGTGCCACATTTTCTTTATTCAGTCTATCATCGATGGACATTTGGGTTGGTTTCATGTCTTCGCTATTGTGAACAGTGCTGCAATAAACATACATGTGCATGTGTCTTTATGGTAGCGTGATTTATAATCCTTTGGGTATATACCCAGTAATAGGATCGCTGGGTCAAATGGTGTTTCTAGTTCTAGATTCTTGAGTAATCGCCACACTGTCTTCCACAAAGGTTGAACTACTTTACGCTCCCACCAACAGTGTAAAAGCGTTCCTATTTCTCCACATCCTCTCCAGCATCTGTTGTTTCCTGACTTTTTAATGATTGCTTTTCTAACTGGCATGAGATGGTATCTCATTGTGGTTTTGATTTGCATTTCTCTGATGACCAGTGATGATGAGCATTTTTTCATGTGTCTGTTGGCTGCATAAATGTCTTCTTTTGAGAAGTGTCTGTTCATATCCTTTGCCTGTTTTTCAGTGGGGTTGTTTGTTTGTTTCTTGTAAATTTGTTGAAGTTCTTTGTAGATTCTGGATATTAGCCTTTTGTCAGATGGGTAGATTGCAAAAATTTTCTCCCATTCTGTAGGTTGCCTGTTCACGCTGATGGTAGTTTCTTTTGCCATACAGACACTCTTTAGTTTAATTAGATACTGTTTGTCTATTTTGGCTTTCGTTGCCATTGCTTTTGGTGTGTTAGTCATGAAGTCCTTACCCATCCCCATGTCCTGAATGGTATTGCCTAGGTTTTCTTCTAGGATTTTTATGGCTTTAGGTCTAACATTTAAGTCCTTAATCCATTGTGAATTAATTTTTGTATAAGGTGGAAGGAAGGGATCCAGTTTCAGTTTTCTACATATGGCTAGCCAGTTTTCCCAGCACCATGTATTAAATAGGGAATCCTTTCTACATTTCTTGTTTTTGTCAGGTTTGTCAAAGATCAGTTGGTTGTAGATGTGTGGTGTTATTTCTGAGGCCTCTGTTCTGTTCCATTGGTCTATATCTCTGTTTTGGTACCAGTACCATGCTGTTTTGGTTACTGTAGACTTGTAGTATAGTTTGAAGTCAGGTAGCATGATGCCTCCAGCTTTGCTCTTTTTGCTTAGGATTGTCTTGGCTATGTGGGCTCTTTTTTGGTTCCATATGAACTTTAAAGTAGTTTTTTCTTATTCTGGGAAGAAAGTCATTGGTAGTCTGATGGGGATGGTATTGAATCTATAAATTACTTTGGGCAGTATGGCCATTTTCATGATATTGATTCCTCCTATCCGTGAGCATGGAATTTTCTTCCATTTGTGTGTGTCTTTTATTTCGTTGAACAGTGGTTTGTAGTTCTGCTTGAAGAGGTCCTTTATATCCCTTGTAAGTTGAATTCCTAGGTATTTTATTTTCTTTGTAGTAATTGTGAATGGGAATTCACTCATGATTTGGCTGTTTGTCTGTTATTGGTGTAGAGAAATGTTTGTGATTTTTACACATTGATTTTGTATCCTGACACTTTGCTGAAGTTGCTTATCAGCTTAAGGAGATTCGGGGCTGAGACGATGGGGTTTTCTAAATATACAATTATGTCATCTGCAAACAGGGACAATTTGACTTCCTCTTTTCCTAATTGAATACCCTTTATTTCTTTCTCTTGCCTGATTGCCCTAACCAGAACTTCCAACACTATGTTGAATAGGAGTGGTGAGAGAGGGCATCCTTGTCTTGTGCTGGATTTCAAAGGGAATGCTTCCAGTTTTTGTCCATTTAGTATGATATTGGCTGTGGGTTTGTCGTAAATAGCATTTATTATTTTGAAGTAAGTTCCACCAATACCTAGTTTATTGAGAGTTTTTAGCATGAAGGGCTGTTTAATTGTGTTAAAGGCCTTTTCTGCATCTATTGAGATAATCATGTGGTTTTTGTAGTTGTTTCTGTTTATGTGTTGAATTACATTTATTGATTTGCCTATGTTGAACCAGCCTTGCATGCCAGGGATGAAGCCCACTTGATCCTGGTGGATAAGCTTTTTGGTGTGCTGCTGGATTTGGTTTGCTAGTATTTTATTGAGGATTTTCACATTGATGTTCATCAGGGATATTGGTCTAAAATTCTCTGTTTTTGTTGTGTCTCTGCCACACTTTGGTATCAGGACAATGCTGGCCTCATAAAATGAGTTAGGGAGGATTCCCTCTTTTTCTATTCATTGGAATAGTTTCAGAAGGAATGGTACCAGCTCCTCTTTGTACCTCTGGTAGAATTCGGCTGTCAGTCTCTCTGGTCTTGGACTTTTTTTGGTTGGTAGGCTATTAATTATTGCCTCAATTTCAGAGCCTGTTATTGGTCTAATCAGAGATTTGACTTCTTCATGGTTTAGTCTTGGGAGGGTGTATGTGTCCAGGAATTCATCCATTTCTTCTAGATTTTCTAGTTTATTTGCATAGAGGTGTTTATAGTATTCTCTGATGGTAGTTTGTATTTCTGTGGGATCGATGTTGATATCCCCTTTATCGTTTTTTATTGTGTCTATTTGATTCTTCTCTCTTTTCTTCTTTATTAGTCTTGCTAGCAGTACATCAATTTTGTTGATCTTTTCAAAAAACCAGCTCCTAAATTCATTGATTTTTTTGAAGGGTTTTTTCTGTCTCTATCTCCTTCAGTTCTGCTCTGATCTTAGTTATTTCTTGCCTTTTGCTAGCTTTTGAATTTGTTTGCTCTTGCTTCTCTAGTTCTTTTAATTGTGATGTTAGGGTGTTGATTTTATATCTTTCCTGCTTTCTCTTGTGGGCATTTAGTGCTATAAATTTCCCTCTACACACTGCTTTGAATGTGTCCCAGAGATTCTGGTATGTTGTGTCTTCGTTCTCATTGGTTTCAAAGAACATCTTTATTTCTGCCTTCATTTTGTTATATACCCAGTAGTCATTCAGGAGAAGGTTGTTCAGTTTCCATGCAGTTGTGCAGTTTTGAGTAAGTTTCTTAATCCCGAGCTCTAATTTGATTGCACTGTAGTCTGAGAGACCGTTTGTTGTGATTTCTGTTCTTTTACATTTGCTGAGTAGTGTTTTACTTCCAATTATGTGGTCAATTTTAGAATAAGTGTGATGTGGTGCTGAGAAGAATGTACATTCTGTTGATTTGGGGTGGTGAGTTCTGGATATGTCTATTAGGTCCACTTGTTGCAGAGCTGAGTTTAAGTCCTGGATATCCTTCTTAACCTTCTGTCTCCTTATCTGTCTAATACTGACAATGGAGTGTTAAAGTCTCCCATTATTATTGTGTGGGAGTCTAAGTCTCTTTGTAGGTCTCTAAGGACTTCCTTTATGAATCTGGGTGCTCCTGTATTGGGTGCATATATATTTAGGATAGTTAGCTCTTCTTGTTGAATTGATCCCTTTACCATTATGTAATGGCCTTCTTTGTCTCTTTTGATCTTTGTTGGTTTACAGTTTGTTTCATCAGAGACTAGGATTGCAACCCCTGCCTTTTTTTTTTTTTTTTTTTTTTTTTTTTTTTTTTGCTTTCCATTTGCTTGGTAGATCTTCCTATGTCCCTTTATTTTGAGCCTATGTGTTTCTCTGCACGTGAGATGGGTCTCCTGAATACAGCACACTGATGAGTCTTGACTCTTTATCCAATTTGCCAGTTTGTGTCTTTTAATTGGGGCATTTAGCCCATTTACATTTAAGGTTAACATTGTTATGTGTGAATTTGATCCTGTCATTATGATGTTATCTGGTTATTTTGCCTATTAATTGAGGCAGTTTCTTCCTAGCATCGATGGTCTTTACAATTTGGCATGTTTTTGCAGTGGCTGGTACTGGTTGTTCCTATCCATGTTTAGTGCTTCCTTCAGGAATTTTTGTAAGGCAGGCCTGATGGTGACAAAATCTGTCAGCATTTGCTTGTCTGTAAAGGATTTTATTTCCCCTTCACTTATGAAGCTTAGTTTGGCTGGATGTGAAATTATGGGTTGAAAATTATTTCTTTAAGAATGTTGAATATTGGCCCCCACTCTCTTCTGGCTTGTAGGGTTTCTGCCGAGAGATCGCTGTTAGTCTGATGGGCTTCCCTTTGTGGGTAACCCGACCTTTCTCTCTGGCTGCCCTTACCATTTTTTCCTTCATTTCAACCTTGGTGAATCTGACAATTATGTGTCTTGGGATTGTTCTTCTCAAGGAGTATCTTTGTGGTGTTCTCTTTATTTCCTGAATTTGAATGTTGACCTGCCTTTCTAGGTTGGAGAAGTTCTCCTGGATAATATCCTGCAGAGTGTTTTCCAACTTGATTCCATTTTCCCTGTCACTGTCAGGTACACCAATCAGATATAGATTTGGTCTTTTCACATATTCCGTGTTTCTTGGAGGCTTTGTTCGTTTCTTTTTACTATTTTTTCTCTAATCTTGTCTTCTCGCTTTATTTCATTAATTTGATCTTCAATCAGTGATACCCTTTCTTCCACTTGATCAAATCAGCTATTGAAACTTGTGCATGTGTCACAAAGTTCTTGTGCCATGGTTTTCTGCTCCATCAGGTCATTTAAGGTCTTCTCTACACTGTTTATTCTAGTTAGCCATTCCTCTAACCTTTTTGCAAGGTTTTTAGCTTCCTTGTGATGGGTTTGAACATGCTCCTTTAGCTCAGAGAAGTTTATTATTACCGACCTTCTGAAGCCTACTTCTGTCAACTTGCCAAAGTCATTCTCTGTCCAGCTTTGTTCGTTTGCTGGTGAGGAGCTGCAGTCCTTTGGAGGAGAAGAAGCACTCTGGTTTTTAGAATTTTCAGCTTTTCTGCTCTGTGGTTTTATTTACCTTTGGTCTTTGATGTTGGTGACCTACAGATGGGGTTTGGTGTAGATGTCCTTTTTGTTGATGTTGATGGTATTCCTTTCTGTTTGTTAATTTTTCTTCTAATAGTCAGATCCCTCAGCTGCAGGTCTGTTGGAGTTTGCTGGAGGTCCACTCCAGACCCTGTTTGCCTGGGTATCACCAGTGGATGCTGCAGAACAGCAAATATTGCTGCCTGATCTTTCCTCTGGAAGTTTTATCCCAGAGGGGCACCCAACCGTATGAGGTGTCTGTCAGCCTCTACTGGGAGGTGTCTCCCAGTTAGGCTACAGGGGTCATGGACCCATTCTCAGAGCTCAAACGCCATGCTGGGAGAACCACTGCTCTCTTCAGAGCTGTCAGACAGGGACATTTAAGTCTGCAGAAGTTTCTGCTTCCTTTTGTTCAGCTATGCCCTGGCCACAGAGGTGGAGTCTGTAGAGGAAGCAGGCCTTGCTGAGCTGCGGTGGGCTCCACCCACTTCGAGGTTCCCAGCCGTTTTGTTTACCTACTCAAGCCTCAGCAATGGCAGACATCCCTCCCCCGACCAGGCTGCAGCCTCGGAAGTTGATCTCAGATTGCTGCGCTAGCAGTGAGCAAGGCTTCGTGGGTGTGGGACCTGCTGAGCCAGGAACGGGAGAAAATCTGGTCTGCCACTTGCTAAGACTGTGAGAAAAGTGCAGTATTTGGGCGGGAGTGTTCCGTTTTTCCAGGTACAGTTTGTCTCAGCTTCCCTTGGCTAGGAAAGGGAAATCCCTCTATCCCTTGGGCTTCCTGGGTGAGGTGATGCCCCGTCCGGCTTCAGCTCATCCTCCGATTGCTGCACCCACTGTCCAACCAGTCCCTGTGAGATGAACCAGGTACCTCAGTTGGAAATGCAGAAATCACCCGTCTTCTGTGTCGATCACACTGGGAGCTGCAGACTGGAGCTGTTCCTATTCGGCTATCTTCCACTTTCATTCTTTCTACTCTATTTCTATTCTTGTTTAAAATGTGTCCTATTGGTTCATTGAATATTAATAAACCCCTTATGTTGAACTTTTACTTTTACATAAATGGTATCTGTCACATGTTACACACTCAATTAAATTGAATAGAATTCCTACACCAAGCAATCAGTGAGCTGTACAACCAAATGCAAAGAAGAAACCAACAAAAATAAAACTCTGGTAACATTCATTAGTTCAAGCACACACCTACACATACACACAGACCACTTGCTTCTGGCCTCAAGATTAGCTCTGGTTTCATTCTACCTTTTGCCCATTAAGATATGATCTTTCAGTCTTTTCTCAACCCTTCTCCCACTCAGAGTCTAACTTGTTTTAAGTTGTCTCCTAAACTAGTTCTCCCTCTTAGCCAAAACCCCAGAATATACAAAAGGAGAAAAGGGAAATCATAGATTGAGAAGCACTAAATACAGAGTTTGCACTCTACTTTCCCCATCTCATGGGTCCTTTATTTCCTGAAATATTTTCTTGCTGGGGACATTGGCAGGGGTCAGAGACTATGTGACTGATACTATCCCTAGTTGCCACTATTTAAAACGAAAAGTACAGTGTCATAGGGTTCCAAGATAGTGATTACAGGTGGATATATACATATAGGCACAAAGTAGATGTCTTTTAACTATGACCAATTTTTTTGTTTTTGTCTGTTTGCTTTTAATTTTTTTTAGAGGTAGGGTCTTACTTTGTTGGTGAGGCTGGAGTGTAGTGGTGTGATTATAGCTCACAGCAGCCTGGAACTCATGGGCACAAGTTATCCTCTGGCCTCAGCCCTCTAAGCAGCTGAACTACAGGTATGCACCACAGTGCCCAGCTAATTTTTTATTTTTTGTAGAAACAGGGTCTAACTATGTTGCCCAGGTTGGTCTGAAACTCCTGGCCTCAAGCGATCCTCCTGCCTTAGCCTCCCAAGGCATTGGGATTAGTTGTGAGCCAGCACACATACCCTACGATCTGTTTTAGGCTGAATGTCGCTTTCTAAGACAATGAGATTCTGTTCAATCACTTCATGCATTAGCAATATTAAACCAAATACTTATATGAGCTTTATAACTCTATATTACTTCTTCAAGACCTTTTTTTTGAGTCTGAGTCTATCTGGATGCCAAATAGTGAAAACCCTGTAAAACAGTGTAAAAGTGAGGCATTATGTTTGACATCAATAGTAGAAAACAAAGATGGGGAACAACTTGTTTCAACTTAATGTAAGGCATACTCCATTTCTGTTATTGGTAAATTCCAGTATACCTCTTCATGAAAGCTTCAACGTTTGTTTTAGATCACCTAGTTCTAATGTGGTGATTTTGTAGTTTCATATGTAATTTATTATTCTTACATTATTTTTCCTTTCAAGGAAAAAACTAGAATAAATAGTAAAAAATATTGATTCTGCTTATGTGATTTGCAGAATTTCTTTGGCCCTGAGTTTGTGAAAATGACAATTGAACCATTTATATCTTTGGATTTGCCACGGTCTATTCTTGTAAGTAATAAAACCAATTTGTGTCACTCTTAGAAAATAATTTCAGTAGTGTTAAAAACCAGTTAAAATTCTTATAATGCTTATTTTAATAAATGCCGTTTATTTTTTCAATTGTAGACTAAGAAAGGGAAGAATGAGGATAACCGAAGGAAAGTAAACATAATGCTTCTGAACGGGCAAAGACTGGAACTGACCTGTGATACCAAAACTATATGTAAAGATGTGTTTGATATGGTTGTGGCACATATTGGCTTAGTAGAGCATCATTTGTTTGCTTTAGCTACCCTCAAAGGTACCAAGACATTTTATATTCAGAGTACAGTATAGAAATTTAGCAACAAGCAGACTTCCTATGTTTGTTACCATGCCTGACCTCATTTTGACAATTAGTAACTAAATGAACTAGTCAGTAGAAGTGAGTTAGGAACTCCCTTTCTTCTCCCAGCTACTTTCATTGTTTTAATAGTTATGTTTGTTAGGCACCTTCTGTATCTGACTGGGAAGATTTTTTTATTTTTTGCTATGGTTATATAAAAATATATTTTAATTATATTTTAGGGACCGTTTTATATGTTAATGGTCTACATGTGTACTCTAGAAATTAGTATCCTAATATGAGCCTGAATGTATAGCAAGACCTTATTTCTGAATTTCCACATCAGTTTATTTAGTCTACTATCCTAAAATCACAGTGACTTTTTAAAATGTCAATTGAAGGCTAAAAATTAGTTATTTCACATTATCTTTTAAATATTGTATCCACTTAAACCCATGATGTTCACAACCACAGTGGTCTAAGACACAGCTTCAGTAGAAACTTCTCCTATTTATCAATTAGAGTTGCCATAGCAGTAAGAAACTTTTTGGAATTCATCTCCTTTTTAAATAAATCATTATATTTATAAATTACTCTTTAATATTTCAGATTCCTGTTTACCTCAAAATTTAACTTGGAAAGTTTAGGCAACAAAGTACTATAAATGACAATTGACAGGTTAAAGGATCCTAAAACTCTATAAGCTCTTAATATCTTCTGTATCCTAAAAGAAATATTTCCCTCAATATAGCTTATTGAATTATTGTGCCTTAAAAATGAATAATTTATGCTGTAGACTCATACAATAAATAGTCAATTAGTACCTACTGATGTTCTATCACTTTACTAGTTTCACTTTTAGACTAATCAGTCAATATTGTCTACATGAAGCTGATTCAGTTCATCCAAATATCTATTTATACTATACCTAATTTCTTACAGATTCTGGTAAAATCAAATTGTATTGAATAATTCTTTTATTTGTAGAGAGTAAATAATAGTTAACTAATGACATTAAAAAATAAAATGATAAATGTCATTCCTTCTAGGTTTCAGCTGGTAGCTCAATAATAATAAGTATACTAGCTAATATTTATTAAATGTTTACCGTGTACTGTGTGCTTTAACAAGTGTTTTTATTCATTATGTCATTTGATCCTTATAACAATGCTGTAAAGCAAGAATTCCCACTAGCCTGATCTTAAAGCCAAGAAAACTGATGTCTAGAGAGGTAAAATAATATATTCAGTGTCATACGGATAGTAAATGTTGTGACCAGGTGTTGAATCTAGGACTGTATGTCTTTAGAGCCGCCATTCTTAAAAGAGTGGGCCATATTGCCTCCCATCTAAATGGAGTGTCTCAGAGCTCCCTGCCACATTTTTAACAGTCTTGTATTTATATTCTCATATGATACTCTTTTATGCAAGTCTGACCAAAAAGTGAAGAAATCGGAAGAAAACACTAAAGTATTTTTTTATTTTATCTGAATATTTTTCTCATTCTGTTTAGATAATGAATATTTCTTTGTTGATCCTGACTTAAAATTAACCAAAGTGGCCCCAGAGGGATGGAAAGAAGAACCAAAGAAAAAGACCAAAGCCACTGTTAATTTTACTTTGTTTTTCAGAATTAAATTTTTTATGGATGATGTTAGTCTAATACAGTGAGTACACAAGAGTTTCTCTTTTGCTCTTTTTGGACACTGGTCTTTTGACCCTTTAGCTTACTGATACTGAATTACTTGATTCCAATCAATGATAATGTCTGCTTTATCATAAAAGTAATATTTCTTTCAACACAGTTTATCTAATCCTTATGCCTTAAAAGCTTAATAATAAGCTTAGTAATAAACTCATGGAAATTAACCTTACATGCCTATAATAAAAACCACCCCAGTATTCAAAATCAAAGGCCAAGATGTCTGTGTGTGTTTGTTTTTTCAGACATACTCTGACGTGTCATCAGTATTACCTTCAGCTTCGAAAAGATATTTTGGAGGAAAGGATGCACTGTGATGATGAGACTTCCTTATTGCTGGCATCCTTGGCTCTCCAGGCTGAGTATGGAGATTATCAACCAGAGGTAGGATTTGTGTTTTTTTCCAGGACCATTTTTGTTTGGTGTTGTTACCTTTAACATAGTTAATGACTAAACCTGATTCAGGTGTTTGATGTTTAGATCTGAAGATTTTTGAGGCTTCTTTGGTTCCTCAGAATGACCAAGCACTCCATGTATATCAATTATATAAAATCATGAAGTGTGGGATTTTTTTTTCCTGTTTAAAGTTATCCTGTTTTGGAGTTTAGGAATATCTACCACTTACTCCTTCTCCTGAGTTCTAACCTATAGAGACTATACACAGGAGTTATTAGTCAAATATAAATTAAAAGGATCTCCTGCCTTCCACATGATGGGCTGGCAGCCTGGCAGAGCTTACTGTGTGGAGAACTCACAGTATACTTAAAGCCTGATGTTTCTAAATAAAATTGATCTAAGAGGAAGCAAGGGGCTAGAAGCTGTGCTGCTGGAGCAGCATCCTTCACAACGTTCATCCTAAACTAGAGTGATATGAGGCCCTTGAATGTCACACTTCTCAAGCTTGCTGATCAGTTCAGTCATTTTATCTCACTGAATAGAAAAGAAAGACTGATGCATTTCTTCTAAAACTCATTCCTCAGAGAGAGAGGTAGAAATAGAAGTACTTCATCTCTTAGCCAAAGCAAGAACTTTAAGATAGAAGGAAAAGGGTTTACTCCAATAAAAGGCAAACAATTGCTTATGAAAACATTCTTTTATCTAGGTTCATGGTGTGTCTTACTTTAGAATGGAGCACTATTTGCCCGCCAGAGTGATGGAGAAACTTGATTTATCCTATATCAAAGAAGAGTTACCCAAATTGCATAATACCTATGTGGGAGCTTCTGAAAAAGAGACAGAGTTAGAATTTTTAAAGGTAAGCATCCAAGATTACAAATGATAAGCTTTGTATCTTTTCCAAGTAAGCAAGAAGTGTTAGAGGACACATATCTAAGAGTTCAAGTGCCAGTAACTGATACTGTGCATAATCTCATCTCATTGCTGGCTAAAATTATGGTATTTTAATTCTCATTTTGTAAAAGAGGGAAATGAGGCTCAAAGAGGAAATGTAATGTTCCCAGAGATATGGGGCAGATATGATTTGAACCCATGTCTATCTGGCTGTTAATCCTATGCTTTTATCTTATTCCATACTCAAAATCAAAATACATTATACAGAAGAAACAAATGAATTTGGTGAATGGCTTGATATGAGAGGCAAGTTCATACTGATTCTAGAATTGTTTGTTTTGCTTTTTCTCAAAAGGCTTAAAATTCAATTACATCCTTTAAAAATGGTCTTCCCACTAAATGCCAATTAATGTAGATAGGGGTAGAGAGTCACAAAAATTGACTTATTAGTTTACAGTTCTATTAGTTCTACAGTCTATTAGACCTATAACCAGCTTTCTATATGACCTTAGATAAATAGTACATTTACGATCAAGAAAAATAGTATTATGTAAACTTCCAATGCAAATAGCAAATATAAGATAGTGTTCTGTTGAAAAGACAAATTTTCAGAACATTCTTCTGTTTTAGCTTCCTAGGATGTAACAGTATGCCTTCCATTCACTGCTGCATATAGAAAGAAATCAAGTTTACCAGCCCTGTGAAAATTTATGAAGGGATTTTATTCACAGACTTACATTACCTTTAATCTAGTGTTCATGGAAAGAAAGAAAGGCAAGGTGGTTTTTTCTGTTTGAGTCCAAATTTAAAGATATTAAATTATGGACTTATACTTTTCTTAGTTATTACATTTTTATACTTGTAGAAAGTAAGATGTTACATTATAATTTTATTAATAAAGGTAGAAGGCAGATTGGCACAGTGAAAAGAATTTGCATGAGGATTTGCAGACAGACAGTCTTGCATTTGAATTCTTATTTCAACTAGCTGAGTGACCTTGAACAATGTGTTTAACTTCTCTAAGTCTCAGTTTTCTCCTTGTAAATAGCATGCCTAAGGAATATTAGGTTGCCCTACTCCTTCTAATAATATATTCTGTTACTTCATTTCACTTTAACTTTAGCATCTTTCTTCTAACTTAAGAAGTTTTATCTTGTTAACACAACCTTCTAAGGCTACACTTTTGCTATATATTATGTTGTTTTTGAAATATCTTTCGTAAATCTGCTTTATTGCAGTATAATTTACATACAATAAAATTTACCATTTTTAAGTGTTTGGTGAGTTTTTAAAATATATGTGCAGTTGAGCTGGGCATAGTTAGGGATGCATGCCTGTAATCCCAGCTGGTTGGGAGGCTGATGTAGGATCACTTGAGCCTGGGAGTTTGAGGCTGCAGTAAGCTTTGATCTTGTCACTGGGTTCCAGCCTAAGTAACAGAACAAGACCCCATCTCAAATAAAATAAAATAAAATATAAAATAAAATAAAATAAAAGTAAAAAATTAGTATAATAAAATATAAAAATATGTATACAGTTCAGCAATCACCTCCACAGTCTTGAGAACAAGGGTTAGCAAACTGTGGCCTGCCTGTTTTGTAAATAGTTTTATTGGAACTAGTCCATACTCATTTCTTTATATATCATCTATGTCTGCATTCATACTATAACAGCAAAGTCCAGTCATAACAATAAAGATCATATGACCCACAAAGCCTGAAATATTTACTATCTGGCCCTTTACAGAAAAGTTTACCAACTCCTGATACAGCACATTTCGAATACATAAAGCTCCCTCTTGTCTCTTTATAGTCAGTCCCCTCCCCCTACCTGTAATCCTTAGCAACTACTGATCTGCTATTACCATAGTGTTTTTTTTTTTCTAAAATGTCATGTAAAAAATAATATAATATACAGTCTTTTATGTCTGGCTTCTTTCACTTAGAATAATACTTTTTTTTGTTTCTGAGACAGAGTCTCACTCTGTTGCCAGGTAGGAGTGCAGTGGCATGATCTCGGCTCACTGCAACCTCTGCCTCCCGGGTTCAAACATTCTCCTGCCTCAGCCTCTCAAGTAGCTGGGACTACAGGCACATGCCACCACGCCTGGCTAATTTTTTATATTTTTAGCAGAGACATGGTTTCACCATGTTAGCCAGGATGGTCTCGATCTCTTGACCTTGTGATCCGCCCACCTTGGCCTCCCAAAGTGCTGGGATACAGGTGTGAGCTACTGTGCCTGGCCTAGAATAATACTTTTAAGATTCATCCATGGTGTGGTATATATCAGTAGTTTCTTTTCTTTTTTTTTTCTGAGTAGTTTTTCTTTGTGCAGATACATAATTTGCTTATTCTTTTCATTAGTTGATAGATATAAAGCTGTTATAAACATTCCAGTTCACATTTTTCTGTGAACACAGTTTTTATTTCTCCTGAGTAAATATCTAGCAGTAGGATTGCTGGGACCTATGGCAAGTGCATGTTTAACTTTGTAAGAAACTTCCAAACTGTTTTCCAAAATCATTGTACAGTTTTACAGTCCTACCAACAGTGTGTGAATTTCAGTTGCTCCACATCCTTGACAACACTTGGTAGTTTCAGTCTTTTTCACTTTAACATTTGAAATAGGTGAATAGTGGTATATTATTATGGTTTTAATTTGTACTTCCCTCATTACTATTTATGTTGACCAATCTTTTCATGTGTTTATTTGCCATTTATATATCATCTTTATTGATGTGTCAAATAAAACTTTTTACCCCCTTTTGTAACTGGTTATATGTTTCCTTACTGTTAAGAAGTACATGTTCTTTAAATATTCTGGATACAAGTCTTTTATCAGATATGTGGGTTTTACATATATTTATTTACTCCTAGTCTGTGGCTTGCCTTACATTTTCTTAACATTGACTCTTTTTTTTAAGAGTCTCACTCTGTTGCCCAGGCTGGAATTCAGTGGTGCGATCTTGGCTCACTGCAGCCTCCACCTCCCAGGCTCAAGTGATGCTTCTTCCTCAGCCTCCTGAGTAGCTGGGATTATAGATGTGCACCACCATACCTGGCTAATTTTTGTATTTTTCATAGGGACAGGATTTTGTCATGATGGCCAGGCTGGTCTCAAACTCCTAGCCTGAAGTAATCTGCCTGCCTTGGCCTCCCAAAGTGCTGAGATTACAGGCATAAGCCACTGTGCCAGCCAACATTAACTCTTGATGAGCAAGTTTTCAATGTTAATGAAGTTTCCAATTTTTTTTATTTTCTAGTTTATGGTTTTTGTGTTCCATCTAAGAAATTTTTGCCCAACCCAGGGTCACAGACACCTTCTAAGTTTTATGCTTTTAGTGCCTGTATTTAGGTCTGTGGTCCATTTTTGGTTAAATTTCATGTGTAGGGTGAAGTAAGGGTTGAAATTCATTTTTTTAGCATGTGGATATACAGTTGTCCCAGTAACCTTTGTTTAAAAGATTATCCTTTCCACATTAAACTACATTGATATAGTGTGTTAGTCCTTTGTCACACTGCTGATAAAGACATATACCCGAGACTGGGCAATTTACAAAAGAAACAGGTTTAATGGACTTATAGTTCCATGTGGCTGGGGAGGCCTCACAATCACGGTGGAAGGTCTCACATGGCAGCAGACAAGAGAAGAGAGCTTGTACAGGGAAACTCCCCTCCTTAAAACCATCAGATCTCGTGAGACTTACTCACTATCATGAGAACAGCATGGGAAAGACCTGTCCCCATGATTCACTTACCTCCCACTGGGTCCCTCCTTCAACATGTGGAAATTCAAGATGAGATTTGGGTGAGGACACAGCCAAACCATATTCCACTTCTGGCCCCTCCCAAATCTCATGTCCTCACATTTCAAAACCAATCATGCCTTCCCAACAGTTCTCCAAAGTCTTAATTCATTTCAGCATTAACCCAAAAGTCCACAGTCCAAAGTCTCATCTGAGATAAGGCAAGTCCCTTCTGCCTATGAGCCTGCAAAATCAAAAGCAAGTTAGTTACTTCCTAGGTACAATGGGGGTTACAGGCATTGGGTAAATACAGCCATTCCAAATGGGAGAAATTAGCCAAAACAAAGGGGCTATACAGGTCCCACGCAAGTCTGAAATCCAGCAGGGCAGGCAAACCTTAAAGCTGCAAAATGATCTCCTTTGACTGCATGTCTCACATCCGGGTCAAGCTGATGCAAGAGGTGGGCTCCCAAGGTCTTGGGCAGCTCTGCCCCTGTGTCTTTGTAGGGTATAGACCCCTCCTGGCTGGTTTCATGGGCTGGTGTTGAGTATCTGTGGCTTTTCCAGGTGCATGGTGCAAGCTGTCGTTGGATCTACCATTCTGGGGTCTGGAGGACAGTGGCCCTCTTCTCACAGCTCCACTAAGTGGTGCTCCAGTTGGCACTCTGTGTGCAGGCTCCAACCCCACATTTCCCTTCCCTACTGCCCTATCACAGGTTCTCCATTAGGGCCCTGCCCCTGCAGCAAACTTCTCCCTGGGATCCAGGCATTTCCATACATCCTCTGAAATCTAGGCGAAGGTTCCCAGACCTCAGTTCTTGACTTCTCTGCACTCACAGGCTCAACACCATGTGGAAGCTGCCAAGGCTTGGGGCTTCCAGCCTCTGAAACAACAGCCTGAGCTGTACCTTGGCCCCTTTTAGTCATAGCTGGAGTGGCTGGGACACAGGGCACCAAGTCCCTAGACTCTACACAGCAGAGGGACCCTGGGCCCGGCCCACAAAACCATTTTTTCCTCCTAAACCTCCAGGCCTGCAATGGGAGGGGCTGCTGCAAAGGTCTCTGACATGCCCTGGAAACCTTTTCCCCATTGTCTTGGTGATTAACATTTGGCTCCTTGTTACTTATGTAAATTTCTGCAGCCAGCTTGAATTTTGCCTCAGAAAATGGAATTTTCTTTCTATCACATTGTCAGGCTGCACATTTTCCAAACTGTTATGCCCTGTTTCCCTTTTAAAACTGAACGCCTTTAACAGCACCCAAGTCACATATTGAATGCTTTGCTGCTTAGAAATTTCTTCCACAAGATACCCTAAATCATCTCTCTCAAGTTGAAAGTTCCACAAATCTCTAGGGAAAGGGCAAAATGCTGCCAATCTCTTTGCAAAAAAAAAAGAAAAAGAAAAAGAAAATAACAAGAGTCACCTCTGCTCCAGTTCCCAACAAGTTCCCAACAAGTTCCTCATCTCCATCTGAGACCACCTCAGCCTGGACCTTATTGTTCATATCACTATCAGCATTTTTGTCAAAGCCATTCAACTAGTCTTTAGAAAGTTCCAAACTTTCCCACATTTTCCTGTCTTCTTCTGAGCCCTCCAAACTGTTTCAGCCTCTGCCTGTTACCCAGTTCCAAAGTCACTTCCACATCTTCAGGTATCTTTTCAGCCATGCCCACTCTACTGGTACCAATCTACTGTATTAGTCCATTTTCACACTGCTGATAAAGACATACCTGAGACAGGGCAATTTGCAAAAGAGAGAGCTTTAATGGACTTACAGTTCCATGTGACTGAGGAGGCCTCACAATCATGGCAGAAGGTGAAAGGCATGTCTCACATGGAGGCAGACAAGAGAAGAGAGCTTGTACAGAGAAACTCCCCTTTTAAAACCATCAGATCTTATGAGACTTATTCACTGTCACAAGAACAACACAGGAAAGACCTGCCCCCATGATTCAGTTACCTCTCAGTGGGTCTCTCCCATAACATGTGGGAATTCAAGATGAGATTTGTGGGGGGACACGGCCAAACCATATCATACAGCTTCAATATCTTTATGTCACCATTTACCAAAGTGTATTGCTATGGTATGGTATTATTCCAACAGGTCTGCCAAAGACTGACAGAATATGGAGTTCATTTTCACCGAGTGCACCCTGAGAAGAAGTCACAAACAGGAATATTGCTTGGAGTCTGTTCTAAAGGTGTCCTTGTGTTTGAAGTTCACAATGGAGTGCGCACATTGGTCCTTCGCTTTCCATGGAGGGAAACCAAGAAAATATCTTTTTCTGTATGTCCATTTAACCTCTTTTCATTATATTTTCAAATGATATTACCAACTTCCAATGTAACATATTAACAGACTTTCCTTAGACTCTGCCATTCAGTGGGGATAATACATCTTAATACTATTTAACTCTTCCTTTGTAGTTGTGGAAATTATTATTGAGATTTTATTTATGTCTGGTTTTTTCAACAGGTGACTTTTAAGATTATTACACATTCCTGGCTGGTTATATGCTCAATTAACTTTAGTTAAATTACAACCAAGTTGAATTCTCTGAATAAGTCAGAATTTATTCTAGGGTTGTAACTTCTCACATGGAGAAATCCTCCTAATGTTTTTAAGAAAGATAGTTATCTTAACCCTAGTGAACCTTGTCTGGCCCAATAGTAAACCCCCTCGTAGCAACTGTTATTTGAATCTCAGAGGTACAGAGACTTACTGGATTTTATGAACTAGTCCCAGGACTTTCCGCAATTTTAGATTTTTAGTGTACAGCTCTCTATAAAGTTAGAAAATGATTTTTAGAAAATAATATGTTTATGGAAGATAGTTAGTGATAAAGGCATATTTTGATTTTGGACCTAGTTGGGACACCTGAACATTAAAGTTCCATTGGCAGACTTCAGAGATGAATAAAAAATATTAATATGTTCAGGTGTTTGTTTTCCTAGTGCTATTCAGGAACTACTGATACCTTTAGTTCATCTTTAGGCTAAAGTATAGTCTCAGCAAAACAGTATTTATAAAGTTACCAAGGTCCTGATGGATCTGGATAATCTTCAACCCTGAGACCATTCCTAGACCTAATGGTTAGTTGATTGGCTTCCTCTGAAACCAAGAGATATCACTAAGATTTCCAGATTATATGTTCTCCAGACCACCCACATCTTCTCAAGATTGTCAGGACCAAGAAATTACCTGGGTTTAACTTACCTTCCCCCAGTGGAAATGCTGGCAGAGCCCATGTCTGAAGGAAACCTTAGATTGATTAATTATAAATCCAGTTTTGGACCGTTTTGAAAAGGTGACAAGTCAAATAATCACACAGCAGTCAACTCTATGTAATTTGCCAAGCTACCACACTAACCCACATATATAGAACGAGCTGTGATTAGTTCATTTTTAAAGATTTGTGGGAATAGAGAATAGTTTGCATTCCCATGGAAATTATTCCTATATTTAATAGCATTCATTTTTCCTGAAGTTCTTTCTCTAACACAAAACTATTTTTTTTAACTCTCCTTTTTTCTTCTACTAACCTCTGGGGAAGTGGAAAAGTTACTATTTGGTCTTCTCATATCTCACAACTGAGTTCTCTCAAGCACATTTCTTATCCAGTCCATCCATTAACACTTGGAGAGAATCAAATATTCTTTGTATGTGTTTCAAGACTATACATCTTTCTTAGATATTAAATCATCTATACTATCACTTTTCATAATTAATATGAACCTCTAACCTATCTCTGGCATTTTTTGTGTGTGATATTTGCTGCCTTTGGGTGTTTTATTATAGGTAGTGGTTCTGTAGTTCTTTTGACTGATCAACTAAGAAGATTCTTTCTTTCATGTTTATGCTTGAATCAGTGAGAGAGTTTTACAACTATGGAGTTCAGTGTCTTTGCAAATTCCTTGACAGTGGTTAAGTGGCATGTTTGTTAGGGGAAAAAAAAAATGTTCTCCAAGTATTTGAAGAGTTACCAGGTATACTACTGATAATGAAGATACTAGTTTGTTGCTACTGTATCTTTAGCTCCTCTCTAATACTTACTAATTTCTGTTTCTAACAAAGAAAACAGGTTTAATCCTGGAGCTTTCATTGGCAACAATATCTAGCTAGAATTTAACAATGTTGTTATATTTCTAAAATTTCTTTGAATTTATATAAATAAGAAAAGTCCATTGAAAAATTTATAAATAACCAAGGCTAGAAATTGTAAAGATGACAGGATTGAAGTCTGGGTAATACTCTGTTATTACAACTTTTGAAAGCCTACTAAATTTGGCTTTTCCATGACTATTTCCGTATTTGAAGTAAAGACAAGGAACATGAAGTAGAATAATCTGCACAGTAGCCAAGAGCTAGAGTACAGTCTAACTGGACTTAAGTGGTTCTCCAGAGACATTAGTCTTAGATCCCCGACATGTTGAACACTGGTCTCTTAAGGCATGGGTCACCAGCAAGCCTTACCATATAGGTCACAAATTGGAGTATGCTCTCTTCCACAAAAGACATTCAGTTTTCAAGAAATTTCAGAGTGATAAAACTGATTTGATGATTCTCCTACTTTCTCTATATTTGGCACAAATCACCATCTCTAAATATCAATGTGTTTTATCTCTCAACCCAGCAGTTATGTTACCAGTACCTTTCCATCTCACATTTTCTTTAATTTTCCACAACTTCTATTCAGCCTTTATGCCACCCAGACTCTACTTGACTGAATCCTGGCTCTTATCATTATATATTAATAAAAAAATTATTGTTAAACTTTCATTTTCTTGTATCCAATAGAGTAGAACACATATTTATTATTTCCTTTTCAAACAGTTTTGGTGTTTGTAAACATTACCATAAATTCAAAATATCAATAATCTTATCAAAGGAATCTGTTTCCCTTGTTAATGACTGATATATACAATCTAGATTTAGGCTACAATTTCTGAAAGTGGCAAACGATGTTAATTTATTTCTTGCATTTGTTTATAATAATACAGTCATGTGCCATGTAACGATTTTTCAGTCAACAACTGACCACGAGCAATGGTGGTCCCATAAGATTATAATGTTGTATCTTTACCACACCTTTTCTGTGTTTAGATGTATACTACACAAACAATTGCCTACAGTATTTAGTACAGTAGTATGCTGTACAGGTTTGAAACCTAGGAGCAATAGGCTACATCATATAGCCTAGGTGTGTAGTAGTAAGCTAGCCCATCTAAGTTTGTTTAAGTACACTTCAGGATGTTTGCACAATGACAAAATCGCCTCATGATGTATTTCTTGGAACATGTCTTTATTGTTAAGTGATGCATGACTATATAGGATTATATTCATATTAGATGTAAGTCAATATCCAGTGCCTAACAAGAAATATAAATAATATCTCTACTTACTATAATTATGAATACCCTTGGTTAATATTGTAGAAAAAGAAAATCACATTGCAAAATACATCAGATGGAATAAAACATGGCTTCCAGACAGACAACAGTAAGATATGCCAGTACCTGCTGCACCTCTGCTCTTACCAGCATAAGTTCCAGCTACAGATGAGAGCAAGACAGAGCAACCAAGATGCCCAAGATATTGGTAAGGAGAAGCAGACTATTTCAGATGACTCCTGGGAATATGAATAATTTTTGCCACCAAGTTTTAAAAGAACTGCCATGATTAGGATGAAAACTTACAATGTATATACATGTTAAATAGCTAAATCAAGTCTATAAAGGTGTTACAAGTGAAGCCAATATTTCAATTTCATGTTCACCCTGAGAGAATACTCCTAGGGAGTACCTGTTGAAGTGTCCATTTTGTGCTTAGCAATGATAGGCTAGTTGATGTAAACATTATAAACATTTGGGCCATGTTCTCTACCCTCAGTAAGCTTATCCAATATTTGGAAGGGTAAGACCAACATGCTTGAAACAGCAATACACAATAGAAGTTCAGGATTTCAGCCAGGCACAGTGGCTCACGCCTGTAATCCTAGCACTTTGGGAGGCTGAGGCGGGTGGATCACGAGGTCAGGAGTTTGAGAACAGCCTGGCAAACATGGTGAAACCCTGTCTCTACTAAAAATACAAAAAATCAGCCAGGCGTGTTGCCGGGCACCTGTAATCCCAGCTACTTGGGAGGCTGAGGCAGGAGAATCACTTGAACCTGGGAGGCGGAGGTTGCAGTGAGCTGAGGTCGCACCATTGCACTCCAACCTGGGCGACAGTGCGAGACTCTGTCTCAAAAAAAAAAAATTCAGGATTTGAAGAACAGATTATATTGAACAGACTTTATGACCTATACTGTTAGAAGAGGGAAATCAGAGACTAGAGTACTGGACAGGTGGCACTTGAATTGGATATAAAGGATAAAAATAATGCAAGTAGTTTGGAGATAAATGGAAGGGCTTTAGAGATGAGGGAAAAAACACAGGAAACAAGGCAGAGGATGGGGGAAGTATGCACCCAGAACAGGACAGTGAAGAGACACACTGTATAGTCTTCTGGGTGGCAGATTTACTACCTATTAGTTTTACTTGGGTGCATCCCTGTTCTGAGATTGAGATGAATAATCATAGTACCCAATGTAAATGGTCAGGAGAATGGTTTATTTTCTTTTGAAAAGGAGCCAGCAGAAGAAACTCATCTGACTCTGGAAAAAATATCTCAATCAGAACTGAAATATTTAAATTTCAGAGAGATAAAACTGATTTGGTGATTTCTGCAATTAGAGATTAAAATTATACAAAATCTAATTCTACATAGTAAATTCTTATAGGTATAAGTGAAACAGTCAGAAGTATGTGATTTAAAAATTTAATGGAATAGCACTGATGACCTTGTGCAGCAGGGTCCTATGAATTCTTTACCCAAACTGTTTCACATTCAAAAAATGTTTTCCCCATAAGGGCAGACTGGGGCGATGGCAACCTATGACTAGATGTTTCTCAACCTTTCAGAATCATGATAGGGGTGGAGGTTGTATGCTGATTTAAAATGAAGATTCCAGGAACCTACGTAAAACTCAGAGAGCTACAGTCTTTGGGAATTTGTTCCCTAAAATCTGTACTTTAACAGGCTTTCCTCAGTAATGTTTTTTTTTGTTTTGTTTTTTCTTTTATTTGATACGGAGTTTCGCTCTTGTCAAAATCTTGTTTGGGTGCAATCTTGGCTCACTGCAACATTCGCCTTCTGGTTTCAAGCGATTTTCCTGCCTCAGCCTCCAGACTAGGGGATTACAGGCACCCGCCACCACGCCCAGCTAATTTTTGTATTTTTAGTAGAGACGGGGTTTCACTATGTTGGCCAGGCTGGTCTCAAACTCCTGACCTTCGTGATCTGCCCGCCTCGGCCTCCCAACTCAGTAATGATTTTTACACATGCTAAAATACAATAACCACTGCTATAATATCATTATTCTCTTTCTGCTTTGCTCTGCTAGAAAGTTTATATGCTCATATATTTTCAAAGTATAGTGAAATATCAGACCTATTAGAGCCATCAGCATTCTTACTTTGACTAATATTCTATTCAGTACAATCCATAACAACTGAAGATTACTTCATTATAGTTGTTGTATAGTGAACAGAATCAGAAGACAAAAGTTTGAAGTTAGTCTGTCATCCTCAACATTTCTTATACTGAAGAACAATATGGTATAGCAGTTAAGAGCATGAGCTCAGGAGCCAAATTGCCAGTGGCAAATTAGGCTCTGTCACTTACAAGCCCTAAAACTTTGGGCAAGCTACTTAAACTCTTTGCCTTAGTTACTTTATCTATAGAATGATTGCCATAAGATAATACCTATATCAGAAAGTTGTGAAAAGGAAATGAATTCATACGTGTAGAATCCTTTAAAACTACCTGGCACAAAGTATTCAGTAAATATTTACTGAAGTATTCATTATCATTGTCATCACCATCATCAACAATGTTTTACCTCTAGAAGATAGTACTACTACTATACTATATGCTGCTATACTATGTAATAGCGGTAATAGTAGCAGCAGCAGCAGCGGCAGCAGCAGCAGCAGCAGCAGCAGCAGCAGCAGTAGTAGTAGTAGATGAATGAATGACCTTAGGAAAGTAAGTGACTTTTTAGAATCTCAGTTTCTTCATCCATGGAGTGGGGCTGGGAATAATGTTGTATATATAGATATAACAGGTTTACCCCCAGGATCACAACAGCTATGTATCCTTGCCCTCAAAAGTGAAAGCACTTTAAGATGGTGTGATCTATATTTTTCCCCTTGGCTTATAAGTAACTGTCTGCCTGTTTATTTGTACTACAAGTGAAAACAACTGGTGTTATCTGTGGGCGGTTAATGGGCTAACAAATGTATGCTGCTTCTTTAGAGTCATAGAATATTGATGCTAGAAAGAACCTTACAGGTCATTAAGTTCAAAATTTTACTAATGGCAAAACAGGTTCAGAGAAGATAGTGTTTTGCCCTCATGTCATATATAGAGGTCTCTTAATTCCTAATCCAGGGTACTTTCTGTTTGATGAGTTTCCCAAGAACTGATTTGCATGGATTTAAGATTAATCAATTATTGAGCATTTACTATTTATAAGTGCACACTACTATGGGATAAGAGAATAAATGAAGTCCCTCTCATAAAAAGAGAATATGATTAAGCTGGAGATATAAGGAAGCACAAAATGGTACCAGGGACTGAACAATAGCAGAAACAGATTAGGAAGTATGGATTGCAGACAGTGTGGAGCTAGCGAGCCTTTGTGTTCAAATTTGAAACATTAGTATTAGGATACAGGCTCATTCTAATCTATGTTGGAGTTCTTTCCAGGTAAAAGGCAGTAGGAAAGACCAGATAAATGGTTGGTTTATGATCCCATCCCATATCCAAGAGTAGGCTACAAATGGATTTGAATAGCATACTCCCTAATATGTTCACAAAACTGACTAAACTGAGCCTGCTATCCTTATTCCTGCCAAAGTTTGGTCCACATTTTCTTTAAGGATGGAGAAACCTATTGGGTGTAAAGGCATTTCCTTCTGAAGACTTTATTTTGCTTCTTTGATTACAGGCTACTCGTAAAGTAAATGAAAATAGAATAGCATTATTTGCTCTAATAAAAACTATATTTTGAGGTAAAGATGATTATGGAAATTTTTTTTTTTAATGTAGTATCGCTCTGTTGCTCAGGCTGGAGTGCAGTGGCGCGATCTCAGCTCACTGCAAGCTCTACCTCCCGGGTTCACGCCATTCTCCTGCCTCAGCCTCCCAAGTAGCTGGGACTACAGGCGCCTGCCACCACGCCCAGCTAATTTTTTGTATTTTTAGTAGAGATGGGGTTTCACCGTGTTAGCCAGGATGATCTCGATCTCCTGACCTCATGATCCGCCCACCTCAGCCTCCCAAAGTGCTGGGATTACAGGCGTGAGCCACTGCGCCCAGCCTGATTATGGGAATTTTTAACAAAGGTGTATTTTTAAAAGTCTTTGTTTTTTAAGGTCTTGTTATAACTTGGTGCCCACTTCCACTTCAGAGAGAGATCATTGAATTTTCCTAGTGACAATGAGGCATGTTTCTTTAAACTTCATTCTGATGCATGAATATTAAAAACCTTTAATGTTTTCCTACCTCTTTATGCCTGAGAGAAAATATCAATTATTAATCTTCCTAGGAAGTAGAAGATAAATGAAACAATCCAAGAATCTAAGTCAGTAATCATTTGATATTTTCTTTCTTCCTTCTCCCCTCCCTCCCTCCTCCTCTGTCTCCTCTTCCTCCTCCTCCTCCTTTTTCTTCATCTTCATCATCATCATCATCATCATCATCATCACCTGGCACCCTTGAGGGAGACATTTTCTTTATAAAAGGAAGTTTTCCCAGTTGTTGTATGTAGCAGTCAAACTTAGTTCTGTGTAGAATGCAACAACATAGAATTGCTGCTTTCCAGAGGGCATCAAAGGGAGTGCCTTGTGATGTGGGTCACTAACTGCATGAAAAACTAAATCATTTGAAATCCTTTGCTCCTATTCTTCATTTACATATGCTGCATTGCTTTTGTTATTAGCCTCAAATATTAAAATATCACTGTGACATTGGTTCCTACAAAATAGAATAGCCAAACACTTGTTATAAAGTATCTGTAAATTTAGCCTCTATAAGAGAACTTTGGATGTGTATTTGGGAGTGAAAGAAATTGAAGCATAAAGAGATGCCCAGCTCCCTGATCATGTTAATTTACAGATACTGAAACAGACAGATTAGTACTGTTTGATTCTCCCATTCCTCTGTTGCCTCAGATAAATCCTTAAGTCAGCCCAGTGAGAAGGTGGGTTTGGCATAGTAGTGAAATAACAAAAGGAATAATTTGCCATAAATGCTTTTTCTTTGTAACAGCATTATTGAGATACAATTCAATACCATACATTCATCCATTTAAAGTATGCAATTCACCATCACCGCAATCTGCCTTAAGCTTTAAAAACTGTCTGGGCAAAACCCCTCTGCATAGCTTTTTCAGGTGTGTATTCACCATCTCAGCCCATCTAGGTTTCGTCTCTCCCTCTCCCTATCCTTGGGTGCTGATATTTTAGCAGAGACAGTACTAGGTTTGAAAATTTCTGTGTTAAATGTCATTCTCATTTCTAACTGAAACCTATAAGGAATTTGGTGTCAGCAAGCCTGAGCCCCAAACATTGTTGAGTCCAAGAAAATCATTAGATGAAGCAGGAAATGTTGAGTAGGCTGCAACTAAGAGAAAGCTAAAGAGATGAAAATATGTTATGAAAACCAGATCTTCAACCCTCCTTTTTAAAACCCTGATTGCCACACTTTGAAAGCTACCTACTTATGCTGGCAATCAAAATGATTAAAAACTGCATGCTGCTTATTTATTAACATAATTATTCTCATAAAAGTACTGTGGCGTTACCATCATGTAAAGCAATCCTATTTCCTTGTAGAGAGAGCTTCGTTTAGGAGCCTGAATCTCCAAGCAGAGTCTGTTAGAGGATTTAATATGGGACGAGCAATCAGCACTGGCAGTCTGGCCAGCAGCACCCTCAACAAACTTGCTGTTCGACCTTTATCAGTTCAAGCTGAGATTCTGAAGAGGCTATCCTGCTCAGAGCTGTCGCTTTACCAGCCATTGCAAAACAGTTCAAAAGAGAAGAATGACAAAGCTTCATGGGAGGAAAAGCCTAGAGAGATGAGTAAATCATACCATGATCTCAGTCAGGCCTCTCTCTATCCACATCGGAAAAATGTCATTGTTAACATGGAACCCCCACCACAAACCGTTGCAGAGTTGGTGGGAAAACCTTCTCACCAGATGTCAAGATCTGATGCAGAATCTTTGGCAGGAGTGACAAAACTTAATAAGTAAGAACATATTAACTAACCCAATTACATATTTGTAAATTCTACATTTCATACGTTTCTTTTTGTTATGACATTTTATTATTTTCACCATATTTTTTTACATTAACACTTCCCTCCTACCTTCCTTTTCCCTCTTCAGTTCAAAGTCTGTTGCGAGTTTAAATAGAAGTCCTGAAAGGAGGAAACATGAATCAGACTCCTCATCCATTGAAGACCCTGGGCAAGCATATGTTCTAGGTCAGCAAAAACAAGCTTACCTTCTTTGTCCCATACCTCATGCTCAGAGGGAAGTGAACAAGATCATCTTAATTATCAAATTATTTTGGGTTCCATGTCCTAATTGCCAAAACTGAATATAAATTTTAGGCTACTTAAAATGCACCAAATCAAATTACCACTTGATTTAACAAGTGATTGCTTCATGGTACAGACTATTAGCTTCTCTTTTTTTCCCCCTCAGACAGGGTCTTACTCTGTCACCCAGTCTGGAGTGCAGAGATCATGGCTCACTGCAGCTGCAAACTCCTGGGCCCAAGTGATCCCCCCACCTCAGCCTCCTGAATAGCTGTGACTACAGGAACGCAGTACCACATCTGGCTTTTTATATTTTTTTGTAGAGACAGGGTTTCACTATGTTGCCCAGGTTGGTCTTGAACTCCTGGACTCAAGGGGTCTGCCCACCTTGGCCTCCCAAAGTGCTGAGATTACAGGCTTGAGCCATCACGCCCAGTCTGTTAGCTTCTCTTGGTCACAGTTGCCATGACAGTCTTACTAAGACTGTCATGTGCCATTACTTTGGATTACCTTTTTTGGCTTTTCCTTTCAAGCCGATGTGAATGAACTCTGGTAATGCTATAGTTTTGGAGAAGCATTTACTTAGAATGCTTTCAGCTTAGCAGGAACAAAATTGTCTCTAAAACCTTAGATAATTTTATGAAATGTGCTATGGTTGATAGGTAGAAGTTTTTAAGTTGATTTCAGTTTCTTCAAATTCTCCCAGATAGCAGGGCATATTATTTAAGTGAAATTGTATGTATGTGTGTGTGTGTGTGTGTGTGCATGCACATGTGCATATATATCTATATATATGCACCTTTTAAGATGCTTACCTTTTATACATGCTACCTTTTAAGATAAATAGTTCAGGTTTCCTGTTGCCTTGTGCAACTTAAAAGGGAAACGCACTGGAGTCGATCTTTGAAAAGAATGGATGTTTAAGCACAGAGATCTGAACTACTACTCAAAATATGAAACAGCGTGGGAAACAAAAGGGAAATGAGGACTGTTTCCCTTCTGTTGTCTTACGAAATACTACTAAACTCTCTTCTTAGGCTCAAGGTTTGTTAATTTATCTCTAATTACCCAAAGTTTAAAAGCTTTTTTTATTCTATAATTGGATTCAGGGTATGTCGAGTAAATGAAGACAAAAGACAATTCTGCATTATAATACATAAATATTTATGGAAGCAACATTACTTTATTAATGTAGGCTTTCGCAACTTTCAGAGACTATACTATCAATTTAATTTCAGTCAGTTAAAAAAACTTAGATAAAAGGCAAGATTTCATTCTATAGGTAACTCTGTGTTGAAAATAGGCTAAGAGATTGATTTGATCTTTTAGGAAATACTTTTCAAAGTGTTCACATATAACGGGGCCTCATACATTCTAAACTATTTTCATTAAGAAGGCTTTGGTCTACATGAAAATTCATTACATATCCGAAGGAAAATAGTAAATACTCTATAGAAAACATAAAACACTCTTAAAGGAAATTTTTCTGCATTTTGTATTTATTCATTCTTACTGAATAATGAATATTCTTTTAACACTTGAACAAATGAAAAACTCATTCCAGTTTCATCATTTCATATTTGATATATCAAAGTATTGTCAGAAACAATATATTTGTGTTTAAATTTATGCTGCAAAATAAGTTATTATGCTTAGCTACTATTTAAAATAGTGAAAATGCCCATTGGAGGATGTTTTCTCAGTGTAAATACAAAATGTTGCTGCCTTATTGTTCTATTGATTTTTATGAGCTTATCAGAAGAAATCACTTCGATATCTAGCATCTGACCATCTTATGAAATGTCTAATATTTAATTTATGCCACAGGAATGACTATGCATAGTTCTGGAAACTCTTCATCCCAAGTACCCTTAAAAGAAAATGGTAGGTTTACAAAATGTTTTTCCCCTCATTTCCATCATTTCTTGTACCTTACTGAGATAGTCTTGGACCTAACAATGAAGAGTCTTGAGTTCCATGCCTAGGATTTGATCTTACATTGAAGTTAAAGGAGAGTTGTATTTTTCAGCATCATAATGATGTAATGGGACCTCTGATTTAGGCTAATGTTGATGAAATGACAAATTAGAGATAAGGACACTAATTGGGAAGCTAAGATAATAGTTCAGGTGGGAGATAATTTCTATTAAAAAGAGTTTTAACTGAGGCAGTTATTTTAAAGGGATGCTGGAGCTGAATTTTAGAGGGAAAGGAGGATTCATTCAGACGGAACAATAAAGATAAGCATTCCAGATCAAGGGCATAGCATGGTCAGAGACATGGAATCATGAGAAAAGAAATTTAGGGAACTGCAGGAGTCTCAGTATGGTGGCATGTGGGGGCCAGGGTAAAGTTTGAGAACTAAGTAGGGACCAGTTTTTAATCTTATGCTAAATATTATGAGGATATTTTGAAGACTTTAAATGCTGAGATTATAGTTTAGAAGGAATCTAAGAAACAAAATCGTAGGCAGAAGACCAGAAATGTCCAGTGACTTGAACATCACTGGCTTTAAAATTTTTAGAATTTAGATTGCAAAGTATTTTCATATACATTATCTTATTTGATCTTTCTAACAACTTTCATGAGTAGAAAATAATGTTTTATTACTATCCATACACTACTTTCCTCCAAAAATGTTTCAGTCTTGGACTCTTAAAGTTGAAATAATTAAAAGCCTGATGAGAAAGAAGCCATTATGTTAATTAAAATTATTAATACAGCTAAACTTGATGAAGTTGTAAATTTAGTTTCAATATTCCTGTAGCCAGGGTAAAACAGAAGGCATAAGACTGAACTATATAGAATTGCTGGGTATTTTTAGGTCAAAACTGTCAAACACCAGAGTGCTATTTTGTATGATTCTCATTCTCTAATAAAAATACACATACTAATTCTTTAAGACAGAAAAAATTTTCTTGGAATTAAAATTGCTTTTAAAAGTAAAACTACACACAATGTCTTAAATACTCATAGCAAATCAAGATGAGGTTTCTTTCCTTCTCATTTTATTTTTGAATGTATCCTCGAAAAATATGAGGGCCTATCATTAAAGAAAAAATTATTGAACTTATACTTGGACGTAAATTGCTAATCCTGTTATATAGCTTTCTAGTGATCAAACTCCTTACATGGACTGAATTTAGAATGCCTATATACCTGAAATACCTTAGTTATTAACATGTCCATATGGTAGTAATTATTGACTAACAGTTATTTAGTGCTTACTATGTGTCAAGCACTGTTCTAAGCACTTTTTATTATTTCTCATTTAATGCCCACAACAACCCTATGAGGTAGGTGTTAATGTTATTTTTTTTCACACGTAAGAAACCAAAGCATAGAGAGTTAAGTTGTACAGAAGGTCACAAAGTTAGCAGGTGGTAGAGCCGTGATTTGAACAAAGGCAATCTGTTTCTAGAGTCTACACTCTAATCTACTCTTTAGACCTCCTCATAATGTGATCATGCCTAAGTATTATTTCTCCCTGCTAAACTTTTGAAAGAAGCTGGATAATAATCTATTCAAGTATGATAATTTTAAATGTGTTTTAGCTTAGATTATGATGAAAAAGAATATGAATGTACATTGGATAGCCAATGAGCATGAATTTACATTGGTTAGTTTCTCTATTTAAACCTTCAGAAGGCTTAAAGTCTCACCTGCCCTGGACAGTAGGGCCAATCCACCTTCATATAGAGGTATGCCTCAGTTAGCTTGCAAACAAGGCTATATTTTCTTCAAAACGCTCTTTGAATCTGGCCAAGTAGCCTGAATTAGTACTCTGTTGAGAATCAAGTTTTCACATAATACAGCATGGCAAACATGTTTTTGCAAATAGTGTAACTAAGGATCAAAAAGTAAAATTACTTGCCCATGCCTCAAATATGGGACCTCTTACTCTAATTTCAATGTTCTTCCTGCTGGTCAAGATTATTAGATGAAAATTATAAATGGACATCAGTTAATATTAAATTATTCATCACTTAGAACAAGGATGAATGTATTATATTCGCTCTTACCTTTTATGGCCTCCAGAGATTCTTAAAGAATGTGAAATTTGAAAGAAAAGATAAAAAAGTCATGATTCTTCTAATCTCACACTTTGAAAAGGTGATATGGAAAGGATTCTAATCCCTTGATAAATTGTGATTTCAAAAACAAAAGTTGCTCAACTTAAAAAAAAAAACACTGGTTATTTTCCTTTGTAAGAGTAAAAACAAAAATATGTAAAAACTTTTCCAAGAATTATGTAAAATTGATTTTAATGTTTCTTGTTTTACTGTAATTATTATACAGCAATTGAAAAGTAACTTTTAGCTAAGTTTGTCATGTTGCTTCCTGAAGTGTCCAAACCACGAACTATAGATGGTCACCGACTTATCATGGTTTGACTTTACAGTGGTGCAAAAGAAATAAGCACTCAGTAAAAATTGTACTTTGAGTACCCTTACAACCCTTCTGTTTTTCACTTTCAGTACAGTATTCAGTAAATTACATGAGATAGTAACCACCTTATTGTAAAATAGGCTTTGTTTTAGATGATTTTGTCCAACTATAAGTTAACATAAGTGTTCTGAGCATATTTAAGTTAGGCTAGGCTAAAGCTGGGATGTTTAGTAGGTTAGATGTATTAAATGCATTTTTGACTTAGGGTATTTTCAACTTTTGATGGGTTTGTTGGGATGTTTAAAACTCACCACAGTTAAGTGCCTTTTTATTCTTAGTTGGGATGAGAACCAGAGCAACTCAACCATTAGTCTCCTCAAGCCATTTTCTCTTTCTTCTTTCATTTTATTCCGTCTTTACTGCTTGGGGTTTTGATTTTCTGGGAACTGTATGCCTAATGGACTTATTAAGTACCTACCATAGAATAATGGATTTCCTTAGTTTCCAAGTATCCCAATTCCTGAACGGTGGGTTATTAAATCTGAAACTTGAAGGAGGAAATGGAAATTTAAAGCAATGATCATCATTTAATCACTTTACAAAGCACTTTGCTTTAATCTGTTCTCTCTTACCACCTCATCAATGTGGTCTCTTAAAGGCTATACTGATTTCAGTTCCTAATGTGACCTCACCCCCTTATTTGTTTTATTTAATTTTATGGGTTTTGTTCTGTGTTGTTTTGTATTTGTTCTAGCTAAAAAATAGAACTAATTGCCTATTTTTTGATAAAAGGATCTTGGATACTTAAACTCATTAAACTAGGCATTAAATAATGGATGGGCTTTTGCTTAGGATCACCTAATATGTAAAGTACTTCACACCATTGTCCAATGATAGTTTTTGTAATTTAATTAATAAAATCATTAGAAATACCGAATTACCACTACTCTTATTGCTAATAACTAAGTTTTGGTCAAAAAGAAACAACAGAATAGGAATATATACTCTACAGAGATCTAGCAAACTTGCATCAAAACAGTATTGAGATACAAGGCTAATTCACTCCTGAGAGGAAATTATTGTTGTTATTGTCTTTTGAAATTAAAGGAATTTATTTATACAATATGAAGTATCACATTTACATCATTTAAGCATCAATACAAGTTTTGTGACAAAATTACTATTTGTTTTGTGACATATTAATGCAATTTTAAGTCCATGGGTGGTTATATGTTGCACATACAGAAATAAAGTCTGTTTTCATACTGATTTGGTTGTTACAAAAATGCATATGAAGGTCTAAGGAAATTCTGGCTTACAGTTTAGTGAAACCAAAACCTCTAATTTTCAGAAAGCTTCAATATAGTTGAGAAGTATGTAGAGTTGAATTTGAAAATTCACTTTACAAAAATATCCTTAGGAATATGTTGAACGAACTGACCACCACCAACACCTTCACACACAGACCAATTTGAACTGTCATTGTAATTGATGTTAAGAAGTGTGTGTTTGTGTAAATGCTTGAATTGCGAAGTAGATGAATTAACTTGATAAACATGTCAATTAAGTGTCATATTTATTGGTTTCAGAAGTTAATTGTGAATGATTAGCCTACTTTAAAAAACCTAGTGGAAATAAGAAAGAGTAAATTCTAGTTCTGATTATGACATTTATTCAATTTATTTAACTAGGATTTATCAAGGACTGACTTCAGGCATTTTAATGGGCACTGATACTAGTTATTATGTTGAGCAGGTCACTAACTGTTACTCCTCATCTGCAAAACAATGGTTAAAAATCTCTTTACTTACTTGTGAGATTGTTTCACAAATAAAATTTGAAATGAATGAAGATCCTTTGAGAGTACATGTGCTAGACAAGGAATTATTAATGGAACTATTAATAGATCCAGTTTCTGACCAGGTACCGTGGCTCACACCTGAAATTCCAGCTCTTTTGGAGGCCTAGATAGGAGGATCACTTGAGGCCAGGAGTTCAAGACCAGTCTGGGCAACATAGACTCCATCTCTACAAAAATAAAAAATTAGCTGGGCATGTTGGCACGTGCCTGTCGTACTAGCTATTCAGGAAGCTGGGGTGGGAGGATCTGCTTGAGCCCAGGAGTCAAGGCTACAGTGAGCTGTGATTATGCCACTACACTTATCCTGAGTAGCAAAGCAAGACTCTGTCTCAAAAAAAAAAAAAAAATCCAGTTTCCTCTTGCTATTTTACTCAAGAACTTACTAAGAATATTTTACCAGTTATAAATTAAAATGCCAACCATTAATTAGAAGGAATTTTTTAATATATTAAGCACTGTCAAATTCAGGGAGTTGATTATGGTGTAACAAACAGAAAACCTAAATTGAAAAGTTCGGCTCTTTCCTGTACTAGCTGACTAAACTTGTGCAAATCATTTAACCTATTGAGGTTTATTTAATCATTTGTAACTGAAATATACTTATTTCAAAAGAATAGCTTATGAAGAATAAATGTAATACGTAGTCATTTTATAAATTATAAATCACTATAAAAATATAAAATGTTAACAGTATCAGTAAACTTAAAATATATGTTTAAGTGACTGAGCAATTAACACACTTTGTTAACATTTAAATTGTTAAAACAAGCTGACAGTCTTAATGCCTGAGCATGTTATATTTATTTTTAAATTATAAATTCCCAATAGATGTGCTACACAAAAGATGGAGCATAGTATCTTCACCAGAAAGGGAGATCACCTTAGTGAACCTGAAAAAAGATGCAAAGTATGGCTTGGGTAAGTCACCGTGAGATTCTTGAAGGTCTATGATTGTTGGGGATTCAGAGGAAAAGTCTATAGCATAGCATTGGCATTGCAGTGCCAGCTCACTTCTGGTCTCAAGATACTGACTGGCTGCCCACCTACAAGCCCATCAACCTACCCGCCCAGTCACCAAATGCCTAATAAGAAATGCCTACAAGAAATACTTCCACAAAATTTAATATGTGTTACCTACTAATCATTTGATATCAATAGTCCCCACATTTCTGTGTTTCAGGCAGGCTAATCATTAGTCTTTGAAAGCAGCAATATGAAAATCTTTTTAAAATGTGTTATTTTACAGGATTTCAAATTATTGGTGGGGAGAAGATGGGAAGACTGGACCTAGGCATATTTATCAGTTCAGTTGCCCCTGGAGGACCAGCTGACTTGGATGGATGCTTGAAGCCAGGTACTTTACATTTTGGTAGTTTTCTAAGTATTTTCTGACAGGCATGAATTTAGGAACTTAGGCCAAACTAAAATAATTGAGAAAGAGATGATATTTCTAAGATTCAGAATAAATGTATCTTTGTTGTTGAAAATACTGGATTGTCTATTTGTACAGGAGACCGTTTGATATCTGTGAATAGTGTGAGTCTGGAGGGAGTCAGCCACCATGCTGCAATTGAAATTTTGCAAAATGCACCTGAAGATGTGACACTTGTTATCTCTCAGCCAAAAGAAAAGATATCCAAAGGTAATGTGAATGTCTCTTACTTATGTATTCTGTTTCACTTTTCTGTCTCATTCCTTTTTAGTGATATTCGCACAAAAATGGATTCATTGTGTACAAAATTGATGCAACTTAAGTAAACTGTGATTACTTAATGTGTTCCATCTTTCTTTTGTCAAATCAGAGATAGAGTCATTTATCATTGTGTAGTTAATATTACATAATAGTTATATATAAAGTCCTGTCCTGAACCAGATGATGAAAAGGAAAGGACCACCACCAAAAACCAGAAATTTTAAAACAAAACCATATCATTTTGTCTCATTATCCCAGTCTTCAGTGGCTGAGAGACAAAGCACTTGATGAAGATCAGATGACCTGCGTTTGAGCTTTGCCTGTGCCTTTTATTAGCTATATGACTTAAGCCTTCTTGAGCCATAGTTTTCTTTTGTTTTTACTTAAAGAGTAGACAGTGATCTTTGCCCTGCTTTGTCTGCCTTGCACAGAGTTATTTGTTACGAGGATCAAGTGGTAGGACAGTATTTGTGGAAGAAGCACAATAGGCCCCTGTGGCGTAGAACAGTGCAGTGGGAAACAGGGAGGGTTGCAGAATCCAGGGTCAGATTCTGTTTCTACCACCTAAAACTGTACACATTGAGCAAAATCACATGAACCTTCTAAGCCTCACTGTGCTCGTATATCAAATGGTGACTATAAACATGCTTATCTTATAGATTATGAAAATTAAATGAGATAATACATGTAAAGAATGAGCACATTGCCTGGTACATATGAAGCATTTAAATGTGAATTTTAGCTGTCATTAATATTGTTTTTCAAAAACATTGAAGTGCTAGATACAAGTAAGTTACCTTCATGCCAAAGATATTGGGAAATACATAAAAGAATTAGTAAAAAAAATTAGCTGAAAAACAATTTTAGACATAGCTTTGGATTCTTATGATAAAATAGAAGATGAAAAACATGAACATGTTATATGTTGTGATAAAATCTTATTAAATTTTATATAGATGAGTCATTTTGAGTATGATTTCTTCTTACTGGATATTATATATATTTTGTATGTCTGTATATGTACACATATAAATAATATGTTACACACTTGTTTACTGTGAGCAAACACAATCGATAGAAGGGAAATAGAAAACACCACCACTGCCCACAGGAACTTTATATAATCTAATTATAATCTAGTCACATTAGGCAAAGGAAGACAACTACAGTTGGAAATGTTGTAACATACTTCTAAGTTTAAAGCAGCCAAGACTAGAAATTTTACATTGGGTCCCATTATTCACCATTTTTTAACCATTTCTGAATCATAGGAATGCAGAATAAATTTATTGCCCCCTGAATAAAGCTCTAAGGGATTTCCATCTTACTCATGTTTTCAGTAGATGTTTTGTAGAAAATTTATTCATTTGTCCAACAAATATTTATTCAGTGCCTGTGATGTGCAAGACAAAAAACTCTGCCCTAATGGAAGTTACTCTTTATCAGGGGAGGCAAGTATTCTTGTCTGACTAGACAGATTTTTAATTGTAACTATGGTAAGTGTTAACAAGAGGCCCAAGGTGCCAAGAGGGAATATAACAGAGGAACTTTACCTATTGTGAGGATCAGAGGAGCCTTTTCTTCTCAGCAGAGTTTTGTGTGGTTTTTTTTTCTGTCCATGCTAAATAAAAATTAAAAGCATAATGTTAAAAGTATACACCTGTGAAATTGTTTCTTCAGAAAGTAGGTGAATCTTATCATGGTATGTAACTATTCTGTAGTGTCACTTTGAAAAGAGGTAAAACCCAAAAGAACTTAGAAAATTACCAATGTGTATTCTAGCTACCCCTGTTAATTGTTAAGCACCAAAGAGGAAGGCTTTTAGTTTTGTTTTTGTTTGCTAATTTTTAAAGTTACAGAATACATACTAGTTTATTAAAAATAAATCCAATTTATGCAAAACCTATGAAATAAGAAGTTGAAGTCCCCTTACCCCATTTCCTAGGGAAACTTTTTGGCATACATGTAGCCTTCTGTGTAGAATAGATATATATGTGATGTGTGTGTGTGTGTAAATATATATATATATATATATATATATATATAAACACAACACATACACACACTATTTTTTAAAAATCTGTTTTATACTCTAAATACCATTCTGTAACTGCTTACTCAACATATTCTGTTGCTATCCATGTACATGCATATCTTTTTAATGCAACATTATATTTATGTTATAGACATATCAAAACTTACTTAACTTTTCTTCTATTGTTATGTATCCAGGTTAGCTATAATTCTATTATAAATGTTACTCCAACAAATACACCTTTTAATACACCATTGAAAATGTATGTATTTCTAGAGGTTAGATGCCTGGAACTAGATTAAAGAGTATGTACATTAAAATTTTGACAAGTGCCACCAAATTGGACTTCAAAAAGTTTTACCAATTTATAGACTAACCAAGTAGATATAGCAGTGCTTTTCTCCTCATACCATCAGTGGTGCTTAAAATTATCAGTCATTCTCATTTTTGTCAGCCAAATAAGTAGAGAACTGCATTAAACTGCAGGTCCCTGAGCAATAGTGAGAATGTCTTTTCATATATTTACTATTTGTATTTTACTCTGAATTTCCAGTCTACATATCCCTTGTTCCGTGGGAGTTTTGAAAACCTCTTTTTTGTTGAATTTTAGCAACTCTTTGTATATTAGGGATACTAATTCTTTGTTTATTGTTTGTTGTCACAAATATTTTCTCTCCAGTTGCTCATTACTCTTAATTTTTCCCTTGTTGTCAATTACTACATAAAACTTTTAATTTCATATAAATTCTCATCTTTAATTCCTTTACACGTGTCTTTGGTGGTTTGTGTCTTCAGAAAGCTTTTTCAAGTGGCGTTTTGTTTGTTTGTTCTTTGAGACAGTCTTGCCCTGTCACCCAGGCTGAAGTGCAGTAGCACAATCACTGCTCACTGCAGGCTCCGCCTCCCAGGTTCAAGTGATTCTTCTGCCTCAGCCTCCCGAGCAGCTGGGACTCCAGGTGCACACCATCACGCCCAGCTAATTTTTGTATTTTTGGTACAGACAGGGTTTCACCATGTTGGGCAGGCTGGTCTCGAACTCCTGGCCTCAAGTGATCTGCCTGCCTCAACCTCCCAAAGTGCCGGGATTACAGGATTACAGGCATGAGCCACTGCGCTTGGCCTAAAGTGGCTTTTGATAAGAACTATATATAAGCAATTTGGAGTTGCCTTCCATGATAATCACTTGGAGTCCAAAAAGTGCAATCTAGTAGGTCAATATAAAGTAAGTGTGCAAATAACTATTTAATAAGGACAAAGAATGTGGGACACTAAGAAAGTATAAATTATCTGTGGAATCAGTAGAGTCTCCACAGAGAAGCCTGGTTTGAAATGGATCTTGGAGAATGGAAATGGGGAGTTAAGGTGAAAGGGGTATGCATTTCAATAGAGGTTGTCACAAGAATGACCAAAGGAGAAAGCAAAGAAAGTCTACCAAACACATGACCTAATGGTGTTTTGTGTGTCATCCTTATAAAATCCTTCCAACAATCTTCAAGAAACATTGTGTATGTGTGTAAGCACGTGTATCACTAACTTGTTACTCTCATTGATGGATTTTGACTTTTAGTGCCTTCTACTCCTGTGCATCTCACCAATGAGATGAAAAACTACATGAAGAAATCTTCCTACATGCAAGACAGTGCTATAGATTCTTCTTCCAAGGATCACCACTGGTCACGTGGTACCCTGAGGCACATCTCGGAGAACTCCTTTGGGCCATCTGGGGGCCTGCGGGAAGGAAGCCTGAGTTCTCAAGATTCCAGGACTGAGAGTGCCAGCTTGTCTCAAAGCCAGGTCAATGGTTTCTTTGCCAGCCATTTAGGTGACCAAACCTGGCAGGAATCACAGCATGGCAGCCCTTCCCCATCTGTAATATCCAAAGCCACCGAGAAAGAGACTTTCACTGATAGTAACCAAAGCAAAACTAAAAAGCCAGGCATTTCTGATGTAACTGATTACTCAGACCGTGGAGATTCAGACATGGATGAAGCCACTTACTCCAGCAGTCAGGATCATCAAACACCAAAACAGGCATAGTTTAATTTTAATATTTTGGTTTTCTCATTTAACAAAGCAAAATAGCAGCAAATAAGTTACAGAGCACAATAATCTACAAGATGCTTTCATTATTCTGGAAAAAAGAAATAGTTTATATCTTCTAATTGCTACTGCATTTGATGCTAACTTTCAGAGAAATCAACAGCTTTGGATAATAACTTTAAATGGCTATGACTTTGCAAACTTGCTATCTAATAACCCAAAGAAGGAATATGCAGATTATGATTGTTTTCTTACCAGTTGTTTGTCTCTGGCATATTTAATGTTTGTATTAATAAGAGAATTTTAATATCTGAAAATTGTTTCTAAATAGTTCGTATAATGGGCATTTGAATTCACTATTTATAGTCTAAATTCTTCTGAAGTTCTGAATGAATGATGATAACGACATTGAAAATAGCTCATTCTGGCTGGGCACAGTGACCCACATCTATAATCCCAACACTTTGGGAAGCAGAGGTGGGAGGATTGCTTGAGGCCAGGAGTTCAAGATCAGCCTGGGCAACATAGGGAGACCCTATCTCTACAAAACATTTCTTAAAAAATTATCCAGGCAAGGTGGCATGTATCTGTAGTCCTAGCTCCTTGGGAGGCTGGGTGGGAGGATCGCTTAAGCCCAGAAGCCCAGGCGATCGAGCCAGACCCTAACAGAAAGAAGGGAAGGAAAGGAGGAAGGGAGGGAGAGAGATAAGGAAGGGAAGAAAGAGAGTAGCTTATTCCTAGAAATGATACAAATTTAAACTCAAATTCACAAGCAGTTTTAGAAAAAAATCTAACGCCTTTTGTTTACTGAAAAATCAACATTCCTTATAAGAGTTATACTCTTATAAATAGGGCTTAGCTGTTGTTCCCATGTTTATATTATTGGATTTATAAATATAAGTAATGTAAACATGAAATCCCATTTTAGAGGCTTGGGTTAAAAGCTACTGCTTGATATATATTGATTATTAAAGGAAATAAAACTAATTTGTAAATTTAGGAATATAAAAAGCATTGGACCAGGATTATATAAAAGCCAGGTTTGAACTGGGTTCTATATAGGTTTCCATCTGCCATATCTAGCAGTTTGACCTGAAGCAAGCTCTTTAATCTCTGGATATCAGTTTCCTCAACCATAAAATATGAATACATTGGACTAGATGATCTCTAAGATCTCTTCCAACCTTTATGTTCTTTGACTATACTCTATCCTTTAATATCTTGCTTTTTCATAATTTTTCCAAAAACACATATTTGTCTTTCAGTAATAATTCATTTTGATTCTAGCCAGCTTTGTCCTGGGCTAGGTTTAAAAAAAAAGAAATTAAAAAAAGAAAAATTATAATTCATTTTGACTCTAACAAGAAATCTTTGTTTGTTTTTCTTTGTTAAGGAATCTTCCTCTTCAGTGAATACATCCAACAAGATGAATTTTAAAACTTTTTCTTCATCACCTCCTAAGCCTGGAGATATCTTTGAGGTTGAACTGGCTAAAAATGATAACAGCTTGGGGATAAGTGTCACGGTACTGTTTGACAAGGTTTTCAAATGTTTTCTCTTCTTTAATTTCCAGCAGCCTATTGTATGTCAACTTTTTAATTGAATTATTTTGCATCAAAAGGGACACATCAAATACCTCCAAAATTCTAAAACTGAATCATATCTAAAAACTATTTTAAAAATTGTGTTAGTCACTTTTTCCTGTGATTTTAAAAAAATTAGACAAACACTACCTTTTTCTCCATAGATTTAATACTTGCTTTATCTGAATATAAAACTTGCAAATTGTAAAATTAATGTAATGCTTTGTAGATATTTGACAGTTTCTACGTGAGCATAGATTATATATCTCTAACCTACATTATTAGTAATTAAAGACTGTATATTTCTGTATACTCTCCATAATATGTAATACCTTGTAAACATGTTAGTATCTTAAAATTAGAAGTTCCCAAGGAATATATGTATCTTTAAGGTAGTCAGAATGTGAGCATAGGCTATTTGATAAAATTATTTTTGAATTATACTGATGAATATAATATCCCTCATTAGTATACTAATGAATATACTGTACATCAGCACATGCTGATGGGATGTCACTGCTTTGGCTAATGAATCCTTTCTAGGCCTGAGATTTGAAAGAGAGTGCAAAATTTTTCATGTTATAAAATATTATTTTGTCTTTTTCTCTTTAGGGAGGTGTGAATACGAGTGTCAGACATGGTGGCATTTATGTGAAAGCTGTTATTCCCCAGGGAGCAGCAGAGTCTGATGGTAGAATTCACAAAGGTATAGTGTTTATATTATGTGGGAATTATATGTATGAATATTACAACAAATAGATAAGAAATTATAAAGTTGATAACTGACCTTCAAATTCATGATATGAAATAAGAACATACTCAATTATAAAACTGTAGCATTAAGAAACTCTTTGATGCCATTTCAAAAACTCTTCTTTCCAGCTTATTTTCTAGTATCAGAAGATATCTATACATCAACATTGTGTGAGAAGTTAAAAAAATTAAAAAGGAAAGAAAATATCTAGACAGTGCTTTCATTCATATTTTACATGTACTATGAAGCAAATTGCTGTAAAAACACTGTCATCTACACTTGTTTTTTTTGTTGTTGTTTTTTTTTTTCGAGACAGAGTCTCACTCTGTCACCCAGGCTGGAGTGCAGTGGTGCGATCTCAGTTCACTGCAACCTCCGCCTCCTGGGTTCAAATGATTCTTGTGCCTCAGCCTCCCAAGTAGCTGGGACTACAGGCGCCCACCACCATGCCGGGCTAATTTTTGTATTTTTAGTAGAGACAGGTTTTCACCATGTTGGCCAGGCTGGTCTCGAACTCCTGACCTCAGGTGATCCCCCCACTTTGGCCTCCCAAAGTGTTGGGATTACAGGCGTGAGCCTCTGAGCCCAGCCTGATATCTACACTTTTAGTAAGGACTAACTAGGAACTTTCCTCCAATCTCTATATATTTATAGTTCAACTTATCTTCTCTCTTGATTTAAATTTATTTTTATAAAGATACTGTTCTAAAATATACTTAACATTAGACATAAGATTGGGGAATAAATTAAATAACATATTAAAGAAACTCTGTAACACAATTTCTTCCAGAATTTGCCTGAGTCCCTCCTCAAACAAATGAATACGAAATAAGACCATAAGATTTAAAAGAACATGTAGGATTTTTATTTATGATTTGAACTGCCTAATTTTTAGGTGATCGCGTCCTAGCTGTCAATGGAGTTAGTCTAGAAGGAGCCACCCATAAGCAAGCTGTGGAAACACTGAGAAATACAGGACAGGTAACAGATCATTATACCAACCTTTTACAGTACCTTAGAAGAGCAAAACAATGTGTGAATAACATCAGTTCTCATTGAGATCTCTAAATTTGTCAGCTAATCAAGAAACCAAGCCTGATATATATAACCATCTGGGTTGTTGATTTTTCCTTCCAAATTGAAATGCAAGTATTACAAGACATTTTTTACTGAGGAAGCTGACTTTCTATGTCACATTTAACGCTTACATTACCAAAGAGATCTGATGGGGGAGGGATGGAAATTGCATTTTAAATTTGTTGTATAAACATCTCATTTCTAGTGGTTTTCACTCTTATTCTTTAGCCTTAACACAAAATTTATTTTGTTGAAGTACATTTTGAGTTAGGGAGTTTAACCAAATTATCTATAATGGTCTTTGGAGGTTTTTGTTGTTGTTTTGAGACAGGGTGTTGCTGTGAGGCCCAGGCTGGAGTGCAGTGGCGCAATCACGGCTCACTGCAACCTTGACTTCCCAGGCTCAGGTGATCCCCCTGCCTCAGTCTCCCAAGTAGCTGGGACTACAGGCTTGTGCCACCATGCCTGGCTAGTTTATTTTTTATTTCTTGTAGAGATTGGGGGCGGGGGGTCTCCCTATGTTGCCCATGCTGGTCTCGAACTCCTAGACAAGAAGTGATCTTCTTGCCCCAGCCTACCAAAGTGCTGGGACTACAGTGGGACTACAGGCGTGAGCCACCACACCTGGCTTTTTTTTTTTTTTTTAATTGAGATGGAATTTCGCTCTTGTCACCCAGGCTGGAGTGCAATGGCATGACCTCGGCTCATTGCAACCTCCGCCTCCCAGAGTCAAGCAATTCTCCTGCCTCGGCCTGTCAAGTAGCTGGGATTACAGGTGCCCACCACGACACCTGGCTAATTTTTATATTTTTAGTAGAGATGGGGTTTCACCATGTTGGCCAGGCTGGTCTCCAACTTCTGACCTCAGGTGATCTGCCCACCTTGGCCTCCCAAAGTGTTAGGATTACCAGCATGAGCCACTCCACCTGGCCATTATCATACATTTCTAACATGTATTATATTTATAATAGATTCTTTTTAATCATTTATCTTTCTATACAGAAATGTAATAAAAACTTGATTTTGGAACTTTCAACCCCTTGCTTTTGTTCCTCTATTTTTTTTTTCTCCCCCTTCATTTGGTGGACCAAATTTGGTAGTTACTTTAAATGATTTTATACCATTAACTATACAAAGTCCTGAAAATGTATCTATTTTCTTAGCATTCTTCTTAATTAATGAAATGCTATTTTACTTATCCAGGTGGTTCATCTGTTATTAGAAAAGGGACAATCTCCAACATCTAAAGAACATGTCCCGGTAACCCCACAGTGTACCCTTTCAGATCAGAATGCCCAAGGTCAAGGCCCAGAAAAAGTGAAGAAAACAACTCAGGTCAAAGACTACAGCTTTGTCACTGAAGGTCAGGCCTTGGGAGACTACAATCTCACCTTTAAATTATTCCTCGCCTATTCAAAATTTGATTTTTACATGTTGGATTACAGTTAATGCCCTAGTTTTGTTCATTATTCTTGTCAAGTACAAATAATAATCTGACATCACACCATACTGAATAAAGACAGAAACATATTTGCAGCTCATAGGGTCTGAAAGACTTTGGATAATAAAGTCATGCATGATTATGGTCTTTTAAAAATGCTTTAAATTGTTGTAAAATTCAAAATAGAATTTGGTAAGTGAAAAAATAAAGAAAAACAAATGCTGAGATGCCTTCAAACCCATGGGAAACCTTGACCCTTAGATTTTTGTATTTCTATTTAATTTAATTTTAAGAACTGTGAATCAAACTCTGGGCAGATATTCACATAGTAGTGCCCAGAAAGTGGTCTTTGTTACAAACTATGCTAGCCTTTGGACAGATCACTAATTGGTAGTAAGAAAATTAAGAATGACAGTGGCTTTCCAGTACCCTTTAAGATTCTGTCTTCTTAAGAGGTTTATATTTCCTTTACTTTATAAATGATGGTGATGGTGTACAGTCATTGTTTTATTTTACACAAACGTTAGCAACTCTGAATCAGTCCCCAAAATAATGAGAAAAAATAACACAGACTATATTATTTTTTCCTGAATATGAAAATAAAATTAATGTACTCATTTTATCATACTGCTCTTTATTCTTTATTTCTTCCATCTTTTTTTTTTTTTTTTTTTGAAACAGAGTCTCGTTCTGTTGCCCAGGCTGGAGTACAGTGGCGCAATCTTGGCTCACTGCAACCTCCGCCCCTGGGTTCAAGCTATTCTCCTGCCTCAGCTTCCTGAGTAGCTGAGATTATAGGCACACACTGCCACATGCGGCTAATTTTTGTATTTTTAGTACAGACGGGGTTTCACCATGTTGGCCAAACTGGTCTTGAACTCCTGACCTCAGGTGATCCGCCCTCCTCAGCCTCCCAAAATGCTGGGATTACAGGTGTGAGCCACCACACCCAGCCCCATCATTCTTTCTTTAAATAGATTTTTTTTTTAAACACCCAAGCCAACCATGAGCAAAGACTTTAAATGTATTTTTTAATTATTTTCTGGTTATTGTTCTTTTAATTTATTTAGCTGATAAGAAATTTATTGAAATATTGCAATTTATCTGAGTTAAATTACACCTCCCCAGAACATTACAATTTCAATTTATTTCCACATAACCTCCTCTAACATTTATTTTGTTCTTCTTTTCATCTTTCTCACGCTGTATACCTGAGTTTCTCCCATACCTGTCCTTCTGTGGAGTTTCCCCTTTTTTTGTCTGTTATCGTACTCTGTTTTGTTTTGTTTTTGTAGAGATTGGATCTCACTGTATTGCCCAGGCTGGTCTCAAACTCCTGGGTTCAAGCAACCCTCCTACTTCGGCCTCCCAAAGTACTGGGGTTTATAGGCATGAGCCACTGTGCCTGACCATAGTGTCTTTTAAAACACACAAGTTTGATGCATAATTCCATTTTCAGAATCCTACTTTCAGAACTCTCCTTCCTAATCAAACAGCTTAGTTCATGCAGTTAGTTGATAAGATTTCTTAATGATGGAAATAGACTGTAAGATACAGCTTCAGTATACCATTGGAGTGCAGTAAGTACATACAGAGCTATAAATACGGGAAAATGGGCTTTTAAAATGTGTCTAGAAGTATATATGTTTGTATGTTCCTATGTAAACACAGCATGTTAATAATATCTAAATTTTTTTTATATCTTTTTCTCCAGAAAATACATTTGAGGTAAAATTATTTAAAAATAGCTCAGGTCTAGGATTCAGTTTTTCTCGAGAAGATAATCTTATACCGGAGCAAATTAATGCCAGCATAGTAAGGGTTAAAAAGCTCTTTCCTGGACAGCCAGCAGCAGAAAGTGGAAAAATTGATGTAGGAGATGTTATCTTGAAAGTGAATGGAGCCTCTTTGAAAGGACTATCTCAGCAGGTGAGCCCCTAGCATGTGGAGTATAGCATTTTTAATGATGAGATGGATTGGCCTTTCAGAATGGTTTCATAATGCTGGTTTAACTGTACCTTCATTTGTCATTCATGGTACCCCCAGGAAGTCATATCTGCTCTCAGGGGAACTGCTCCAGAAGTATTCTTGCTTCTCTGCAGACCTCCACCTGGTGTGCTACCGGAAATTGATACTGCGCTTTTGGTGAGACTTATGAAAAGTAATTTACAGTTTTATAGAATATCAACTTAGCAACTAACTAATTCAGCTGTGGTGGTTTCATCATGAATTGTTCTCCTGGGTTTCATACCTAGCTACTTGTTTTAGGTAGGCATGTTATCTTGTATGTGACAACTTCTTTGAATGTATTCCATATTTATATAATAATACAAAGTAATTTATTCAATTTATTTAACTAGGATTTATCAAGTACTGACTTCAGGCATTTTAATGGGCACTGATACTAGTTATTATGTTGAGCAGGTCACAAACTGTTATTCCTCATCTGCAAAACAATGGTTAAAAATCTCTTTAATAGGAAAATAACATTTCTGTAAGATGCATTATAAATAGCATTTTAAAGGACTACATTGATTTGAGGCACCAGATAGGAAAAAGTGAATGAAACTCTCTTGATGAGCGTATAAGTTGGTATCAGTTTTTAGAAAACAATTTGGAAATACTTAATTAGGCTATTAAAAATGGCCTATATTCTGACAGTATAGAAAATTACAAAGTAATAGAAACTCAGGTAAAAATTTACATACAAAGAAGTTCTTCTAGATTTCTATTAATAATGAAAAGGTAGAAACAACTCTGTCCAATAAAAGGAGAAGGCAGAAATAAAGGTATAGCCATCCATTGGACCATTATACAGGTATTAAAATTGTTTTAAAGCATATTTAAGGACTTAAGAAAATATTTATGGTAGAACCCTAATTTTTGAGAGTATGAGACAAAATATATAATACTACTGTAGTTCTAACTTAAGGTATAAATTGTACAATATTAACTGTTATTTTATATATTATTTTCTCTATTGAACATAAATTACTTTTATCATCAGAAAATTCAATGCATACTTTAGTAGAAAGTTGTTCAATGGTTTATTTTCAAATAAATGCTTCTAAAATTCATAGAATGGTCACAAATCTCTTTAAATGTGTCCATTACAGACCCCACTTCAGTCTCCAGCACAAGTACTTCCAAACAGCAGTAAAGACTCTTCTCAGCCATCATGTGTGGAGCAAAGCACCAGCTCAGATGAAAATGAAATGTCAGACAAAAGCAAAAAACAGTGCAAGTCCCCATCCAGAAGAGACAGTTACAGTGACAGCAGTGGGAGTGGAGAAGATGACTTAGTGACAGCTCCAGCAAACATATCAAATTCGACCTGGAGTTCAGCTTTGCATCAGACTCTAAGCAACATGGTATCACAGGCACAGAGTCATCATGAAGCACCCAAGAGTCAAGAAGATACCATTTGTACCATGTTTTACTATCCTCAGAAAATTCCCAATAAACCAGAGTTTGAGGACAGGTATCATCAATATAATGTGAACCGCTCAAAGCAACTGGTTGTTGTTAGTAGCAGTAGCAGCAACATGCATTTCTCTTAAGAATGAAATGTATGTATCTGTGACCTTCACAGTGGTTAGGCAGAGGATGACTCTATTGGATGTCTAGCTATTGTGACTGATAGTTTTAGTTAGCAAACCAATAAGCTCTCTAGTCAGTCAGCCTGAGTCTTTCTTCCCTCTTGAGCATATTTACTAGTAACTGAGAAAGTTATTTGTATTTCACTGTTAATCATACTACTTAAACAGAAACAGAATAGACTTATTTAGGCAGTAACACAGTGGGAGACTAGGGACCAGAAATATAGAGGGGAGATAAGGGCAGAGAGTTTGCAAAAGGTAAGACAAAGAAGATGGGGAAAAGAAGAAATGATTGAAAACATAGAAGCATACAAAGAGAAGGACTACATCAATACATTGCATAATTATTCATACATTTTACTCTTTGGTTATGTCTTTGTATCTATCCACATCCAACTTTATTTATTCAAGTTTTTTTCCTTTGTATTTTATCCAAAATAACCACAGGAGTCAGACTTTTATTCTTCTTTCTTCTTTTCCTTATTATGTTGAAACACACATTAAGCTTCTGATAACATTAGCTTCAGCTTTGAATTAACAACTAGAAATCAAAAGAATTTTATTTAACCTATCTTGCTGACTTTATGCAGCTTAAAGAGCTTCATCAAAATAGAACCTAGGCCGGCGCGATGGCTCACGTCTGTAATCCCAGCATTTTGGGAGGCCAAGGCAGGTAGATTGCCTGAGCTCAGGAGTTCGAGACCAGCCTGGGCAACATGGCAAAATCCCATCTCTACTAAAAATACAAAAATTAGTTGGGCATGGTGGCACACACTTGTAATCCCAGCTACTTGGGTGGCTGCGGCAGGAGAATCACTTGATCCTGGGAGGCAGAGGCTGCAGTGAGCCGAGATTTCACCACTGCACTCCAGCCTGGGCAACAGAGTGAGACCGTGTCTCAACAACAACAACAAAAAAAACCTAGACAGAGAATAAATTATTGTTAATTTTAACATTTAACAGATATGGAGTAAATTCATAGTCCAGAGTCATACAAAAAGTAACTAGGATCTCAATCAAAATCAGACATGAATATTTGTTAAGTGTTTTCTGTTTCTGGCACAAACTAACCATATTGACATTGAAATGTATTTAAAAATAGTCTTACTTCTTTGTCTCTGTAGTAATCCTTCCCCTCTACCACCGGATATGGCTCCTGGGCAGAGTTATCAACCCCAATCAGAATCTGCTTCCTCTAGTTCGATGGATAAGTATCATATACATCACATTTCTGAACCAACTAGACAAGAAAACTGGACACCTTTGAAAAATGACTTGGAAAATCACCTTGAAGACTTTGAACTGGTAAGTTGTTTTCTCTATATTTAAAAAAAAATCCATATTTTTTAAAAGAAGGTGTGTTCATAAAGTTTCCCTTTAGGGAAAAAGCTATCTTTAAAATAGCTTCATATGTGTGTCTAATAAATGGATAACATATCTGGTATGTTTCTGTGCTGAGAAATTAGGAAATAAGGCAAAAAGACCTGAGTATAAATCCTGACTCTACCACTGACTTGCTACAATTTGGCAGACTCCTATGGACCAATCACTTAATTCTTCTGAGTCTTGGTAACTTTGACTATAAAATGGAGCAAGTAACCTCACAGGGTTGTGGTGAAGATTAAATGAAATAACATATGTAAAGCACGTAGTATAGTATCTGCTACAGAGTAGACCCTTAGTAAATATTATTTTTGTCTGCTTCTCAAATTCTGATGAGTTACCTATTTGATTTTTAACCAAGTTTGAATGTAATTTTTTTTTTCTCCTCCACACTTTTTTTGTGTGCTCAGATGGAATCCTTTACATTGTAATAATAGTCCTAGAACTTCTAAACCTACAAATAAGATTTAGAAACAAAATTTCCAAGTATAATATCCTTTACATTGATTGAAAGTTAGCCTTTTTAAATACTGCTTTTATTATCCAAGTAATAAATGTTTATTGTAGAAAAATTATTAAGGAGAGAAGAAGATTAAAGCCACTATAATCTGATTACCCCAAAACTGTTAACATTTTGGAGCTAAATTTCCAGTTACCCTTTTTTTTTTGCCTATAATTGTGCATGTGTGTATTGGAGATGAGGGGTGTGCAGCATCTACATCTTCAGTTTCATTCTTAGCAATAGAGTAAAAATAATCTTTAATTTTTCTTAGAAATCTTTCACCCTTGTAAACAACCTCCGTGTCTCATTTGAAATCTTTTAAAAGTATATTTTATTTATACAACAAAATTAATAAGATTGTGATAATCACCGAAAGACTTCATATTTTTACCAAAAAAAAAGCTTTGTTGTGGCTCTTTGCATCTGTTTAGAAATATATGGCTCTTTGCATTTGTTTAGAAATATATGAATTTTTTTTCTGAACCTTTCCTCCAGAAAGTATTTTTTGATCATCAAAGTATAACCACTATTGTGTCCTTATTTATCCTAAAAATATAAGAAAGAAAGCAGGAGTAAATTCTGTCTCTGCTGTCTCTAGACAAACATAATGTTGTGCTTAAACATAACTTTTACGTGGGATGCAGTGGGGGGACAGTCTGTCTAGAATCAGACAGACTGTCTAGAGTCAGACAGACTTGACTTCTTCACTTGGACAAGTTAAGTAACCTTTTAAGGTTTGACTTTCTCCTCTGTTAAGGGAAATGATAGTCATCTTTCTGTTTGTCTATAGTGCAGAATAGACAACCTAAAAGTATTACTGCTTTTTTCCCTTAGGAAGTAGAACTCCTCATTACCCTAATTAAATCAGAAAAAGGAAGCCTGGGTTTTACAGTAACCAAAGGCAATCAGAGAATTGGTTGTTATGTTCATGATGTCATACAGGATCCAGCCAAAAGTGATGGAAGGCTAAAACCTGGGGACCGGCTCATAAAGGTGAGACATTTAAGAGGAATGGATTATTTGTGTAAATGTAGACAAAGAGCAAGCCAGAAAAAGAAGATTGAATTATTGTAATACTGTATTTATCTATTCGGTTTATGCTTTCTGTTTCCACCACTTAAAAGTAAAGGCCTTCATATCGTTAACAGTTTGGGAAATTATTTTATATATATATATATATATATTTTTTACTATACTTTAAGTTCTAGGGTACATGTGCACAACGTGCAGGTTTGTTACATATGTATACATGAACCGTGTTGGTGTGCTGCACCCATTAACTTGTCATTTACAAATTTGAAAGTCCCTTTAATCTCAGTAAGGCATAAAACAAGCTATCTTAGGTCTCAAGGACAGAAAGTTTAAATTACTTAGAGGATGAATTTCCTAGATTAGCAAAATAATGATGCATTTGTTAGGGATTTAACATTATTATTTCATTGTAATGGCTTGATCGTTGTGCCTATGATTTCCATAATAAAGGGGATTACCAATAAATTAGAGATCACTGTTGTGAATCTCTTACTAGCTAATATATATTATAAATTAGGAGGATTATTGTATTTTCTTGGCAATTTAGCTTCTCTTTTCTAAAAATTGTGATCTTCACATGCCCCTTTCTTGTTTTTGTAGGTTAATGATACAGATGTTACTAATATGACTCATACAGATGCAGTTAATCTGCTCCGGGCTGCATCCAAAACAGTCAGATTAGTTATTGGACGAGTTCTAGAATTACCCAGAATACCAATGTTGCCTCATTTGCTACCGGACATAACACTAACGTGCAACAAAGAGGAGTTGGGTAATGAAAAGTCAAACTTTGTACAATATGATTTTCTTGGTTAGCTTAAGAGTAAGTACTTTTATGACTGAGAAAACAAATATTTTCTATTATTTCAAGGTTTTTCCTTATGTGGAGGTCATGACAGCCTTTATCAAGTGGTATATATTAGTGATATTAATCCAAGGTCCGTCGCAGCCATTGAGGGTAATCTCCAGCTATTAGATGTCATCCATTATGTGAACGGAGTCAGCACACAAGGAATGACCTTGGAGGAAGTTAACAGAGCATTAGACATGTCACTTCCTTCATTGGTATTGAAAGCAACAAGGTACTCTGCAATTATTTATGAGTTTTGATTGTGCGTGTGTGTGCATTTCAGGTCATTGATTATACTTCATTCTCTGAAAATATATTACTGAATTAGTAATTCATAGACTAAATTGGCAGGACTTAATAAATTTAAAACAGACTTCTTGATAGGCGATTTTGAGAACACTAAGTGAATAATAGAATGGTTACCACATTTATCAGTTAGGATGTTTTCACTTGCAAGTAATAGAAAATAAAACTCAACTTTTGTTTAACAAGAAAGGGAATTTATTGGGAGTTTTTTTGTTTTGTTTTGTTTTCTTTTCTTTTTTAGACAGTTTCACTCTTGTTGCCCAGGCTGGAGTGCGGTGGTGCAATCTTGGCTCACTGCAACCTCCGCCTCCCAGATTCAAGCAGATCTCCTGCCTCAGCCTCCCAGGTAGCTGGGATTACAGGCACCCGCCACCACGCCAGGCTAATTTTTGTATTTTTAATAGAGACGGGGTTTCACCATGTTGGCCAGGCTGGTCTCGAACTCCTGACCTCAGGTGATCCACCCGCCTTGGCCTCCCAAAGTGCTGGGATTACAGGCGTGAGCCACCCTACCTGGCCCGAAATTTATTGGTTTATATTGGACTTTAGAAGTCCCAGAGATAGGGTGGTCATCAGGTGAAATCTGATCAGGGCTCTACCTTAATTTATTTGCTATTTTTAGTTATTTCCTCCTCCCTGTTATCAGTTTTCAAAAGACTACATCATTTTCATACTTCCCACCTGTATACCACATCACATCACCTAGAGCAGTCTTCAAACAGAAATCTCACCAATCACTACTATTTAAGCAAGTACTGTGTACCAATTGCGTTATGCCTAAATTAAGGTCAATCTCTAAGTTGGAAGCAAGGGATAAGAATATACAGATGCTCCTCATACAGTGGGGTTACATCCCAGTAAACCCATGGTAAATTGAAAATATCATAAGTCAAAACCACATTTAAAATACCCAACCTACCAAACATCACAGCTTATTAGCCTAGCCTAGCCTACCATAAACAGTTTTACATTACTTACATTACATTATCCTACAGTTGGACAAAATCATCTAACACAAAGCTTATTTTATAATAAAGTGTTGAATATCTCATGTAATTTATTGAATACTGTAATGGAAATGAAACACAGGATGATTGTATGAGTATTCAAAGTATGGTTTCTACCAAATGCATGTCACTTTTACAGTGTCATAAAGCTGCACCATCGTAAGTTGGGGACCATCAGTATCGATTGGCTTAAGCCAGTCCTGGCTCATTCCCAGAGCTGGGATAGGATTAATCCCACTGGAACTTCATGCCTGCTACCCATGAGGCATAGAACTACCGCATCTACTCAACCTTATAACAGTTTCACATTATAAAACATGCTAATAGCAACTTTTCTTTCACTTATAATGGAAACAGATTGAGAAAATGTATTAGTTTCCTATTGCTATTATAAAAAATTACTATAAGTTTAGTGGCTTAAAACAACACAAGTTTATTATATTAACGTTCTGAAGGTCTGAAATACAAAATGGGCCTTACTGTGGTAAAATCAAGGTGTCAGCAGGGCTGCATTCCTTCTGTAGGTCCCAGGAGAAAATCTATTTTCTACCCTCTAGAGACTCCCCATACACCTTGGTTTATGGCTCACTTCCATCTTCAAAGCTAGGAACTGCAGCACCCTCTGCTTCTGTTGCCACGTCTCTTTCTGTGACTCAGACTTTCCTGCCTCCCTCTTTCACTTATTAGGACCCCTGTGATTATAATGGGCCCACCCAGATAATCCAAAATAACCTCCCCACATCAAAATCTGAACCTAATCATATATACAGTTTCTTTTGCCATATAAATAGTAATATCTTCAGAGGTTCTGAGGATTAGAACAGAATCATTAGAATGTAAACATCTTGGAAGGGGATTATTCTGCCTACCACAATTTACAGGAATCCAGGCTTTCTAGATTACAGACTTAAGTCATATAAAGGAAAAATTCACATTTTTGTTTGTGAATTATTTCTTTTAAAGTATGGGAACTTGTTGATCAAATCATTGATGATAAGCTTATTTATTCCTTCTGAACCTGTAAATTAGATTGTGTACTTTTTTTTCCCCTTGAACATAGTCTTTGACTTGATTCCTTCATATATGTCTAAAAATTGGATTGGCATACAATTGTTTTCATAGATCTACTTGAATGTTAATTAGGAGGGGAGGGAAGTCTTCAAACAACCTGGAAAGTATTTTTGTGAAAATTAACATTTTTGCTAACTTTAGGTCCAACTGAATATTTTGCCTCAAAATTAGTAGAGCACTCTTCAGCTCAGCCTTGAAGTCATTTTCTTTTGTCTTTCTGCTTTTATCTTAGCTGTCGTCACCAAAAATACAGTCATGGTAGTCACAGTTATTTTCTCCTTTGTTCTTCTTCTAGCTCTCTCTTCATTGTGTTTATCTACCCTCTTTTATTAAAGTCCATAGGGTAGCAATAATGGAGTGATGTATACTTGTGGTAATTATCTGTATGTCCACCTTCTAGAGACTCCTCATACTCCTTGGTTTATGACTTCCTTCCATAAAGGGAACTGTAAAGGGTTTAGGATTTTACTGTACTTGCAAGCTAATAAGCTAGCCTGTCTTTGTTACATGGATACTGGCAGAAGACATAAAACTCCTGAATCAGAGATAAAAGACTATTACTAATGCATAGCAAGCAGCATGAGCATGGCATTAGTGTCAGTTCCACGTCTTCCAAGTCCCGTAAAAATGATGTATGTGACGCACCTCCCCCCGCCCACCCAGGCAAAGCAGTGCCTGGTATCACATCACACAAAAGGAACAAAAGCAAAACACACAAACCAGCTTCAACTTACACTTGGTTACTCAAAAGAACAAGAGTCAATGGTACTTGTCCTAGCGTTTTGGAAGAGGAAAACAGGAACCCATCAAACCAACCAATCAACCAAACAAAGAATAAATTCCACAATGAAAGCACGTATTTTGTCTTTTTGCATTTTGGTGTATAAGCCATCAATATTCAGCAAAATGATTTCTTTCTTTAAAAAAAAGTGGAGGAAAGTAGAAATTTACCAAGGTTGTTGGCCCGGGGCGTTAAATTTACAGATTTTTTTAACGAGAAAAACACACAAAAAAAGCTACCTCAGGTGTTTTTTACCTCAGCACCTTGCTCTTGTGTTTCCCTTAGAGATTTTGTAAAACTGATAGTTGGAGCATTTTTTTTTATTTTTTTAATAAAAATGAGTTGGAAAAAAAAAAGATATCAACTGCCAGCCTGGAGAAGGTGATAGTCCAAGTGTGCAACAGCTGTTCTGAATTGTCTTCCGCTAGCCAAGAACCTATATGGCCTTCTTTTGGACAAACCTTGAAAATGTTTCTTTAAAAAAAAAAAAAAAAAGATGACAAAGAAAAACAGAGATAATATTGGAGATGTCCTGAATTTTAATAGGGTACATGCCATTAGGGCTTTTTGCACTAAAGGATGAACATGTACTGGTTTATGTGGACAAGCCATTATACCACCAGACTGCAATGCCAGTTTCCTCTACGGTGAAACCCCGTCTCTACTAAAAATACAAAAAATCTTAGCCGGGCGTGGTGGCGGGCGCCTGTAGTCCCAGCTACTCGGGAGGCTAAGGCAGGAGAATGGCGTGAACCCGGGAGGTGGAGCTTGCAGTGAGCCGAGATAGCGCCACTGCACTCCAGCCTGGGTGACAGAGCAAGACTCCGTCTCCAAAAAAAAAAAAAAAATGATGTATGTGGGCCTGTGGATTTGTACACATGCAATAGGTTGTATTATAGGAGAGGAATGCTATGAGAAGAGCCTTGGGAACCCACCATTTTGTAGCAGTCTGTAAGAAAGCCTGTTTTTTGTTGGGGGAGAGAAGTTACCACATCCTTCATGGTTGCACACTGCAGATACAACCTTAAGAAACGGCCCAGATAAAAAGAGGTCAGGACCTTGCATTTTGGGGCTAGTCAGCAAGAACATACAGGGGTACTCAGAACTTTAAGTATATTGCCTCTCCCAATACTGTACACCTTAGGCAACTCCCCTCTTCTCTCAATTATCAGCAACAATAAGATTGCATACTAATCTTCTATTTCTGAGGTGCTATCTTTTTGGCTGTTTTGTACTTTGGGTGGTACCATTCTTATAATCCTTTGAATAGAAATACTTCATCTAGATTTTCTCTTTAATTTAAAAGAAAAACACGTATCAAGGGCTTTAGATATATAAAACTTAATGAACTGTGATTTCTAAGTTATCTTTAAACTATTGACTAAGTGACAGTGAACCGAGTTATTAGATAATGAATATTAGCAGTGTTTTAAATAAAAGGGGAAATAGGGTGATATGTTAAACTGAAGCCCAGAGAAAACCTACGTAAAGAAGTGATTCTTAATCTTTTTTGGGTCAAGAATATCTCCCGGGCCAGTCACGGTGGCTCACACCTGTAATCTCAGCACTTTGGGAGGCCTAGGCAGGTGGATTGCTTGAACTCAGGAGTTCGAGACCAGCCTGGGCAACATGAAAAAACCCCATCTCTACAAAAAATACAAAAAAATAGCTGGGCATGGTGGCACATGCCTGTGGTCCCAGCTCCTTGGGAGGCTGAGGTGGGAGCATTGCTTGAGGCCAGGAGGATTGCTTGGGCCTGGGAGGTCAAGGCTACAATGTCCAAGACAATTTACAGTTGTCTTTTTTTACAACACAGAAATGATCTTCCAGTGGTCCCCAGCTCAAAGAGGTCTGCTGTTTCAGCTCCAAAGTCAACCAAAGGCAATGGTAAGGATATATTCATTTTACTGTACTCTCCTACGGTAATGGGAATGTAAAATGGCACATCCATTTTGGAAAACAGGTTGACAATTTCTTAAAAATTATAACTTACACCTAAAATATAATCCAGCTTTTTCACTGCCAGCTGTTCACTTGAAGAAAGTAAGCCTATATTCTACATAAAAACTTGGACAGAAATGTTTCTAGCACTTACTTGTAGTAGCCAAAATTTGAAACAACTCAAATGTCCAAAAACTGTTGAACTGAAAAACTGGTTGTAATATATCCAAACAATGAAAAGCTACACAGCAATAAAAAGGAATGGACTATTGATACAAGCAAAAAAATAATTAAAATAAACTCAAAATAAATGTTCTGAATTAAATAAGCCAGAGCATAAGAGAAATAGTTCATACTGTATGATTCTATTACACAGTTGTAGACAATGCAAATTATAGTGACAGCAGCTCAGTGGTTATGTGGGACAAACGGGAAGGAAGCATTTAGGGGAACAGGAGAAAGAGATTACAACTATTATGTTTCATACTCTGCCAATATGATTGTTTTGAACCGGTGGTGTATTATTGGTATACTTTTTTATTTTTCTTAGAAATTTAATAATATTTTTCTTGCAAGGAATATTAAAATCCATTCTTGGACTCTTTGTAACATCATCCACAGAATTCTAAAGACTTGTCTATAAAAATTCCATCTCAACTTTTATCTTTCTAGGCAGAATTATTTCAGGGTCATTCCCAAATAGAGGTTCTTAAATGTATTTACCTATATTTGTTTCTTTCTTTGTTTTGTTATAAAGTTTTCCAAACTCTACCGTATTTTTCTCAGTCTCTTGAAAATATAATTTAATGAATGAAGTTATATTTAAATATGTGATGTTTTAGCTGTAAGTGAAATATAATCTCCTTTTTTAATATATTGAATTTTTGTAATGATAGCTAAGAATTAAAATTAACATTTGGTTTAAAAATACATTAAAAGTTCTTTTCTGTTTTATCCATAATTTATTTTCCTGTGTTGAATTGATAGTCTTTTTGAAATCAGACTTTAAAAAGCTTACTACCTTCTTTTAAATAGTAAAGTGAACATAGTTAAGCACCTGTGATGGATCACCCATTCAGTGCGAAAAATTATAATCAGTGTATCACATGAACCATTCAGCCCAAACTGAGCTTTGATGTGAACTATTTTCTTTTAAGAAATTAGCTTTTTCCTCACACCTGTAATCCCAGCACTTTGCGAGGCCGAGGCGGGCAGATCACGAGGTCAGGAGATCAAGACCATCCTGGCCAACATGGTGAAACCCCGTCTCTACTAAAAATATGAAAATTAGCTGGGCATGGTGGCACACACCTGTAATCCCAGATACTTGGGAGGCTGAGGCAGGAGAATCGCTTGAACCAGGGAGTCAGAGGTTGCAGTGAGCCGAGATCGCACCACTGCACTCCAGCCTGGCAACAGAGCATGACTCTGTCGAAAAAAAAAAAAAAGAAAAAGAAATTAGCTTTTTCCTTGGGATAAACCCAAAAATATTAGAGGTTTGGAATCAAATATTATTCCATTTATTTGGTTTTTAATCATTTTGTAATATGAATTATTTTTGTGTACTAATAAAAATAACAACATCCCAGAAATGTGAGTTTTCTTTAATTATTTTGATGTCCCTCTTGTGGTTTGGATTGGCTCATCCCCTTACTTCCTATATTGTCCTTTCAGGTTCCTACAGTGTGGGGTCTTGCAGCCAGCCTGCCCTCACTCCTAATGATTCATTCTCCACGGTAAGAAAAAGCCCACCCTCTTTCATGTCATACCTCCTTATCTGAGGAACTGCATGTTTGTGTTTTGAACCAAACTGATTTCATATTTAAATATTTGTCTTCTTTAGATATTCATATTAATAGTAAGGCTATATTTTACTGAACTAATAGGCCTTGCTAAGTAAATCATACAACATAGAGCCTCACATAGGTAACCGTACATCATTTAGCACACACTCAGCTTTTAAATACACTAACCAGTTAAATAGATAACTTTAGTGCGGAGATTTTTCTTATTAATGTGTAAAATTCTTTTGATTGTCTCTTAGACCATGGGAAGAGAAGAATAATATAATTAAGAGTGGAATTGTTCCTTTGGGCTATTTTTGGCGAGTAGTAACCTTCAAGTTCAAATCTGTGCAATCAGTGAGGAAAAAACAGAAGTAGCAAAAAAATAAATAAATAAAAAGTAGGTTTACTTGCTTTTGAAAGACTTAGAAAATGCTTTACCAAATGATTAAATGAGAGAGCTTTAATCATTTAAGATTAGCACAGAGAAATCTAGGGGTGACTAAACAAAACTAATACATAGTTAAATTCCATTTCATGCTCTTTTTAAGTCTACTTTTATGCCCATTTGGCTAACATCCCTTTTTGTGGTTTTCTTCCTGGTATGTAATATACATTTCTACAGTGATCAGAGCTAGATCTTCATTTCATGGAATTGTTTTATTCCACATGCATCCCATACAATATGTTCTGAACTTCAATATGGAATGGCTTTCCATGTAAAATACAGCGCTGAGGGATTGCTCTTTTATTAATCCGAAAGTCTTATTATGTCAACATGAGCTGGCTTTAGTGTGGGAGGAGAAAAATAATTTCATGACCAGAATTCCAAAATTCTACACCTTTCATTTCATTATGTTGTCTCACACTTGTGATTTGGTCTAGCAAGCCATGAAAAGATAATTACAGCAGAACATTTTAAGGTAGTAATGATTGAGACACAAAAGCAAAAATTTTTTGTTATTTGTATGTGTTGAAATTGAGCTACAGCAACACTCACTATTCTCTGTTTATTCAGAATGTCTTCAATTTCACATAGCCAAAGCAACTGAATTTTCATGTATTTCTAGTAATATTCACACTGTATAGTGCTCTTCTTTTTAAGTAATCAGTATGTTGTTGAAAGAAAGAAGAGTTGAGTTTTTGTGAAATTAACATAAAACCCTAGAAACCAGGACTTTTGCTGTTCATGGCTGCCAGCATTTTTTGGTTGGAGTTAAAATCTTCCAGGAAGTCTCCCAAACAATACTGTGTCCTTGAATGCTAATATCTATACTATTAATTTCTCATTGAGAATGGAGTTTCATAATCCAGTGATGCTTTTTGATATTATATTACCACTATTTATTTTTTAAAATTCTATTGCATCTACCATGTGTACTTTTTATCTTAATAGAATGAGTGAAACCTTGAGAGCAAAGCACAACCTTTTATTTGTATAAAATTATTTTAATTTATTCCAAGCATTTATTTTTGCATTTTTTTCAAGTGATTTTTCTTTTGATAGGCTATGCTCCATGAAGTGCTTTACAGTTGAACATTGCATTCAAAATTTACATTCTATTCAATAATTATTCTATTGTTATGAATTCATTATTTTTCTTAAATTTATATGAGACTTAGACTAGATTTGAAAATCTTTATACCTAATAGATTATCAGGTCACTAAATTGGAGACTATATCCATGTAATACACTCACAAGTACTTGAAAAGTTGGTATTTTCTCTTTCCCTCAACTTCTAAGCTTTAATAGTCCTATTAAACTTTTTTAAAATTGTATGAAAGACAAGTCTTATAAAATTGCTTCAAAAAAGAGATGTCTACAGTCAGATATTTTAAGAAGTACTACATAATAGAGTTATCTTTTGGCAACTCAAAGTTTATATTAGCAAGGACTGTGAAAATTCCTGGAATAAAAATTTTGAGTTAATGTTGTTTCACCTAGTATTTCCAGATATATTTAATGATGGGAAGCCCCATGCCCTATGCACATTTAATTGCACTGATATTTCCTTTCAAACACTGATCTAAGGTGGAGAGATGTAAAATGGATCTTGTACTAAGAAAGAAGAGGAGAGAGACAATGTGCAGTCCCCCGATCCTGGAAGTTAGTAAAATACTATCTGATGATTTGCTTTGGTTTTATGCTTTAGGTTGCTGGGGAAGAAATAAATGAAATATCGTACCCCAAAGGAAAATGTTCTACTTATCAGATAAAGGGATCACCAAACTTGACTCTGCCCAAAGGTAGTTTTCCAAATCAGTCATCTAATTACTCTAAATGCCCTAATAATTCAGGTAATTAAAAAAAAATAGGTATCCTCTTTTCTTTGCTTTATATGTTACTGTAGCTTTAAAGGGAAAGATTATTGGTCAAATAAACAAAAGAACAATATATAAATGTCCCAGTATTCATTCTCGTCTCTGAGACTAATTTTTTTTAAATGATTGAAAAGATAGCTGCTGTGTTTTACAGTGTTTCTTGTATTTTGTGAAGTAGCAATTCACAGGCTACCTAATAGTTTAGAAAAAGTATCTTGAGGATGTTTTGTCTGATCTATTATATCCTTAATCATTGTAACATAACTTTGTTTCTTTCATAAATTAATACATTGAGAGTCATTTAAGAAAATAAACATTAAATTATTAATGCCTTGTGAAAAGCCGTATCACCAACATTGATTTTAGTTTATTCTTTGTAATTTGCATTTGTGTGGTCTTCCATCATAGCAGCCAGGGTAGTTTTAGAACTAAAAATGACTGGATCACATTAGTGTAAACTACTTTTCCAGTCATTGCTACTTTTAAAATTGGTTGCTTAAAATTTGAAAGCACCTAGCAAATTCTGTTTAACACCTTGTCCCTTTCTCGTGTCAATATTTTTAAAGTAAAACCCCATGTAAATTATTATTTTTCAAGAATCTTATATACAAGAAGATGACATTTATGATGATTCCCAAGAAGCTGAAGTTATCCAGTCTCTGCTGGATGTTGTGGATGAGGAAGCCCAGAATCTTTTAAACGAAAATAATGCAGCAGGATACTCCTGTGGTCCAGGTACGTGAACCAGATGAATAAATTGGTATACTATGGAGTACAAAAACGTCTCTAGGGAGCATTTTTTGAGTAAATATGTAATGCATTAGTTCTTCTTCTGTTCCTCATTCATGTGTAATATTTCAGAAACAAAACAGAATTTGTTATCTCCTATTTTTTTTATTTTCCATATTTGTAAGTGGGTTACCTTATTAGTGAGATCTCCAAATGTATCATTTATATCATGGCTTTTACTTCTAGTAGGGTTAGTCCAAACATTTTCCCCCAGCCATTCTCATTTTAATTTTAGTAGATAATTTTAACCAGAAATTTTATACCAAAATGTACTTGATCATTTCTTCCTAACTTTTCTAGTTAAAACATTGAAACTATTTATGGATATTGGTTTATACACTGCCTTCTTTTGCAGGCAAATGAAAACTTTTCTACTTCCTCAATAGTTTTATAAATTCCTCTTGGCCTATATATTCCTCTCTCAGGTACATTAAAGATGAATGGGAAGTTATCAGAAGAGAGAACAGAAGATACAGACTGCGATGGTTCACCTTTACCTGAGTATTTTACTGAGGTAACAATAATACCTAAACAACCTAGGATATGACAGCTTGTTACAATTATGGGTTTAACCCAGAAGGTGAAATAATCAGAGATTCTTTCCTGTTTTACTCAAAAATTAAATTTAGGAGGAAAACGGAGATTAATTTCATGTGTTACATTAAAGTGTCATCCTATCCTAGTGAAAGAATCATTACACAAATTTTCTCAAATTAAAAAAAATAGAAAAAAAAACAATTAGTTTTCAAAAATGTAATGCTAAACTTTATAAATTATTCTTTAAAACCTTAAAACTTAGGATCTTCTGGGATATTAGGCTAAGGAAAAGCATGAAATAGTAGATAAATTATATTTCAGGTTCTTCAAGCTCAGCATCACCCTATGTATACAAATCTGACCTTGCTTAATATTCTGGGATAATTCTCCTCATTATCCTTCTTAGTCTTCCTACTTCATATCTTCAAAATTATTAAAACTGTGCTGGTTTGAATGTTCTTACACTAGTTATCATGCATGCTTATACTTACACACAATCTCATCCATACATGACTGTTCATTAAATATTTACAAATAATGTGTATATATACAAGGAAGCTTACGGCTGATAAGTATGTATTTCTCAAGCTACAAGAATAATCATACAAATATTAGATATCTCAAAATGTGGCATTCGCTAGTGGTTTTTCTTAAGATGCTCTTTCATATAATCAGAATATTAATAATTACAGTAAAAATAGGCTCTTTAGAGAAGATTTTCTGAACATTTTAAGTCATGACTTTATCACATTTTTATTAATATTTAATAGTAATATTAAAATGCCCCTTAAAATGTATGTTGTAATGTCTTTTAACTAAGAAAATAAAAATCTTTAATTGCCATTTCAGAAATGTGATGTAGGCCGGGCGCGTTGGCTCATGGCGGTAATCCCAGCACTTTTGGAAGGCCGAGGAGGGCAGATCACTTGAGGTCAGGAGTTCAAGACCAGCCTGGCCAACATGGTGAAACCCTGTCTCTGCCAAAAATATAAAAAATTAGCCAGATGTGGTGGCGCACACCTGTATTCCCAGCCCCTCGGGAGGCTGAGGCAGGAGAATCACTTGACCCAGGAGACAGAGGTTGCATTGAGCGGAGATCATGCCGTTGCACTCCAGCCTGGGCAATGGAGCGAGACTCAGTCTCAAAAAAAAAAAAGTCATGTCACATGCTTTTTCTTTTAAAAAAGTAAGGAAAGCTTGTTAATATAGATTCTCATTTATACTGAGCTATGACTGTTTTATGGCAGAAAACTTCTTTCAAGTTATCTTTTTTTTATTATTTTCATTATGAAAATATTACATCCTTATTGTAAAAAAGTTTCCAACAGAATCTTCAAAACTGTTAAGTCCTAGCCGGGCATGGTGGCTCACGCCTGTAATCCCAGCACTCTGGGAGGCCAAGGTAGGCGGATCACCTGAGGTTGGGAGTTCAAGACCAGCCTGGCCAACATGGAGAAACCCCGTCTCTACTAAAAATACAAAATTAGCCGGGCAAGGTGGTACATGCCTGTAATCCCAGCTACTCGGGAGGCTGAGGCAGGAGAATCCTTTGAACCTGGCAGACGGAGGTTGCGGTGAGCCGAAATCACGCCATTGCCCTCCAGCCTGGGCAACAAGAGCGAGATTCTGTCTCAAAAAAAAAAAAAAGTCCCTTTTTAAAAACATATTTATCTTATTCATCTGAGGTAGCTATTGTTAAAAATTTTGATTTCTACCTTTCCACTGTGCATATCAAAACATAAATATTTGTATACATACATAATTTTTTAATATACGTTTTATCACATGGTTCTGAATTTGGTTTTCACTTAACAATCATTACCCTCTTTCCATGTGAGACGTATAAATTTGCCTCATACTTTTTAAAGCCTTCCTATCATTTTATTGTAAGGTTATACCATAATTTATTAAATTGGCCATCTGTTAATGAATTTTAGATTTCTTATCAATAAGAGGAAACAAATTATTAGGAACTATATAATTGTCTTGCCACTGGAGTACAGATAGATCCTGCAAATACATGCATTGAGAATACATTTTGGGCTAGATAAATTAGTGCTTCCTGAATAAATGGGACTTTTGCTTTAGAATCTGTTTTAAATAATGGTAAACAAAGCAAAGAAAATGAGGGAACAAATTTAGGAAAGGAGTAACAGGGATCTTAGATTAAAACATTTAAAAATTTTATTTGTATCTAATTCTAGGAACACGTTTAAATCACTATGGCAATTATATTCATAAGCAGACAAATTTAAAATTTGCAAATATGACTAATCTCCCCTAGCTGAAAAGAAGACCAAGCTGGTATTCTGGAAAAGTTTTCTGTTTCATCTTGTATTTCTAGAATATTACCTACATTTTAGAACTGGCTAGTTTTAAAAATTATTTAGAACTTCTGACAATAATCTTTTGTAAGTTCTTGAAATCACCCTAAACAAATTGTATATTATTTACTGAATTGGTTCTAACAGTATATTCTGTAACTTTGAAAGTTTTATCATGTGGCAAAAGTTAAGATGCTAACCATTGGTATTACAAAAGTATAGGAATATCTTCTTACAGAAGAAAGATTATACCTCTGATAGCTATTTATACATTCATTGTATTTCTTATTCAGTATTGTAATTGTACTCTTTGGTACCTCTTAGTGAAGTACTTCAGGTCAATGCCTGTGTCTCATTTAAGAATGAAAGAATGAATGCTAATCGTATACATTACTATAAATTATTGTCTACAGTTTCAAAACCATTCAGCTATTGAACTCATCTGACTAATTTTGCTGGGGATAATAGGGTAAGAAGAGGTGTTAGGGTTTCTGTCCTAAATTTGCTTGTCCAGTCTAGTAGTCAGCTTGAGGGAAGTACACATGTAAATAAGTAAATAATTTTTAAAAAGCTATAGAAACATATTCTGTTAAATGTTTATATGGAGTTCAGTGGGACCTACAAAGAAGGGGGGAAATGGTAGGGGCTACACAGGAGTAGGTGGATAAAGTTATTAAAGCTTTCTAAAGAATTAGCATCTTAAAGGTATTTGATAGTTAAGCTAGGAAAGAGCATTCCATACATACCGTGGAGCTGCTTTAGCAGAGGAATGAAGGCATAGATGAGCCTGGAACATTCAGGACACTAAGTCATTGCGAGTAGGGTATCACAGGGTGTCTTGAAAGCTAAACCTAAAAAGATAGGCAAGGTATTAGTTCATGAAGTGACTTACATGCCATGCCAAGGAATTTGATCTTTCCACATCTCTTGCCACTGAAATGGATCAATATGCTTTCTAATTCTGGTTATTTTTTAATGGCTTTAATTTCTTCAAACATTGTCTTCTTATGTAGTGTTTTTAATTTCTTAAGCAAAAACAAGGCAAAAACTTTTAGTGACTCTCCATCACCTGAGGATAATCCTGCTTGACTGGTTGGATCTTAGGACTGGCTTTATGGGCATTCAACCAGTGCAATCACACAGAACCCTGTGCTTGTAAGAGCCTCCTACTCCTAATATGCTATAGTGCTGTGCTATCACCAACTTGAAGTTCTTAGTAAGTTTTTAACAAGAGATACCTTATTTGCATGTGACTCTTGGCACTACAAATTAGGTAGTTCGTCCTAGATCAAGGAGATGTCTCCTCTACTCTCAAGTTACTGGATCTGGATTCCTTGAGCACTAGGATTGTAAAATAACCTTCAAAGGGGCTGACCACGATAAAAAAAAATCTTAAATATATTCAGTGAGGCAGTACCACAGCTGCCTCCTCTTCCAAAGGTCCTTCAGTCCATAGTGACAAGAAACTGAAGGCCAATCTTCTTAACGCAACCCTCCCCCATACACAAGTGAACTTTACAAAAATAGTGGTAATTGGTTAATACAGGTATCACTGTAGCTTTTTTTTTTTTTTTTGAGTAACAGCAAGATTTATTGTGAAGGGCAAAAGAACAAAGCTTCCACACACAGTGTGGAAGGGGACCCAAGCAGGTTGCCCCACTGTAACTTATTTCTAATTGAGCTTTACCTCACCATTTTCATTTAATAATTGTGTTATTAAAATTTTCATATTTATAATAGCACTTAACTCTTATAAAAGGCTTTGTACTTTCTAAAATCATTATACACATACTATATTCTTAGACCAGGATTGTAATGGGGAATAAGAAATCCAAATGACTTTAGTTGGAAAAAAATTTTAATCCAGACTAAAATGAGCAGCTTCTCGAAAGAGATGAGTTTCCTTTTAGTTGACAGTGGATTAAAACCTTTTTTCTTCTACTGTAGAACTTCTACATTTACATCAACTAAATTGAAATTATTATCAGGGTAATTTAATTATGGTACTTTTTAACTCTACAAAGTCTGTAACTGAAAGGTCATATTACAGGTGTCATTTTTATTAAATGGATGAAATAACCTATGTCACAGACATAAGTGTGTGTGGGCACACAGTGGTGAACAGATCGACATGATTCCTGCCTTGGTAGAGCTTAATGATGGAGAGGAAAGGAGAAAAAATCAAACACACAAATAGATATGTAATTACAAGTTGTGTTAAGGTCTGTGAAGTTTGTTTGTTGTTTTTAAGTGCCACACACACACACACACAAAAAGAATAACCAAGGAAACCTGCTTTAGATTGGGTGGATAGAAAACATCTTCAGGAGGAGAAGACACAATGCTGAATTTTTTAGTAAGGATTCACCCTTAGAAGGGCTTTGTGGTAGGAAGAGATGAGTGATTTTGAAGAACTGAAAGACCCATGAATTTGAAGCCACTGGGTAAAGGGGAGATTATAAAAGTAGACAGGGGCCAGATAATTCAGGGCCTTCAAGGGAATTTCCTATTTGTTAAGAAAATTTGTCCTGATAAAGATTCAATTGTATAATTTACCGACCATTTAAGAATACAATTTGGGGGTGGTCACTTCCAAAATGACCGAATAGGAACAGCTCCAGTCTGCCACTCCCAACGAAATCGACGCAGAAGACAGGTGATTTCTGCATTTCCAACTGAGGTGCCTGGTTCATCTCAATGGGACTCGTTGGACAGTGGGTGCAGCCTACAGAGGGTGGGCTGAAGCAGGGTGGGGCGTCGCCTCACACGGGAAGCACAAGGTGTCAGGGGATTTCCCTTTCCTAGCCAAGCAAAGCCATGACAGACTGTACCTGGAGAAATGGTATACCCCTGACCAAACACTGTGCTTTTCCCACAGTCCCAGCAACCAGCAGACCAGGAGATACTGTCCCATGTCTGGCTCAGCGGGTCCCAAGCCCACGGAGCCTTGCTCACTGCCAGCGCAGCAGTCTGAGATCAACCTGTGACACTGCAGCTTGACCAGTGGGGGGCATCCACCATTGCTGAGGCTTGAGTAGCTCACAGTGTAAACAAAGCGGCCGGGAAGCTTGAACAGGGCAGAGCCCACCGCAACTCAGCAAGGCCTACTGCCTCTCTAGATTCCACCTCTGGGGGCAGGGCAGAGCAGAACAAAAGGAAGCAGACAGCTTCTCCAGACTTAAATGTCCCTGTCTGACAACTCTGAAGAGAGCAATGGTTCTCCCAGCATGGCGTTCGAACTCTGAGAATGGACAGACTGCCTCCTCAAGTGGGTCCCTGATCCCCGTGTAGCCTGACTGGGAGACATCTCCCAGGAGGGGCCGACAGACACCTCAAACAGGCGGGTGCCCCTCTGGGATGAAGCTTCCAGAGGAAGCATCAGGCAGCAATATTTGCTGTTCTGCAGCCTCCGCTGGTGATACCCAGGCAAACAGGGTCTGGAGTGGACCTCCAGCAAACTCCAACAGACCTGCAGCTGAGGGGCCTGTTAGAAGGGAAACTAACAAACAGAAAGGAATAGCATCAACATCAACAAAAAGGACATCCACACCAAAACCCTATCTGTAGGTCACCAACATCTAAGACCAAAGGTAGATAAAACCACAAAGATGGGGAGAAACCAGAGCAGAAAAGCAGAAAATTCCAAAAACCAGAGTGCCTCTTCTCCTCCAAAGGATCGCAGCTCCTTGCCAGCAAGGGAACAAAACTGGACAGAGGATGAGTTTGACAAGTTGACAGAAATAGACTTCAGAAGGTCGGTAATAACAAACTTTCCCAGGCAAAAGGAGCATGTTCTAACAAGTCGCAAGAAAGCTAAAAACCTTGAAAAAAAGGTTAGATGAATGGCTAACTAGAATAAACAGTGTAGAGAAGACCTTAAATGACCTGATGAAGCTGAAAACCACAGCACGAGAACTTCATGACACATGCACAAGCTTCAATCGCCGATTCGATCAAGTAGAAGAAAGGATATCAGTGATTGAAGATCAAATTAATGAAATAAAGCAAGAAGACAAGATTAGAGAAAAAAGAGTGAAAAGAAATGAACAAATGCTCTTAGAAATATGGGACTGTGTGAAAAGACCAAATCTACATTTGATTGGTGTACCGGAAAGGACAGGCAGAATGGAACCAAGTTAGAAAACACTCTTCAGGATATTATCCAGGAGAACTTCACTAACCTAGCAAGGCAGGCCAACATTCAAATTCAGGAAATACAGAGAACACCACAAAGATACTCCTTGAAAAGAGCAACCCCAAGACACATAATTGTCAGATTCACCAAGGGTGCAATGAAGGAAAAAATGTTAAGTGTGCAGCCAGAGAGAAAGGTCAGGTTGCCCACAAAGGGAAGCCCATCAGAATAACAGCGATCTCTCAGCAGAAAGCCTACAAGCCAGAAGAGAGTGGAGGCCAATATTCAACATTCTTAAAGGAAAGAATGTTCAACTCAGAATCTCATATCCAGCCAAACTAAGCTTCATAAGTGAAGGAGAAATAAAATCCTTTGCAGACAAGCAAATGCTAACAGATTTTGTCACCACCAGGCCTGCCTAACAAGAACTCCTGAAGGAAGCACTAAACATGGAAAGGAACATCCAGTACCAGCCACTGCAAAAACATACCAAGTGGTAAAGACTATCGATGCTGTGAAGAAACTGCATCAATTAACAGGCAAAATAACGAGCTAACATCATAATGACAAGATCAAATTCACACATAACAATATTAACCGTAAGTGTGTATGGGCTAAATGCCCCAATTAAAAGACACAGACTGGCAATTGGATAAAGAGTCAAGACCCATTGGTGTGCTGTATTCAGGAGACCCATCTCATGTGCAATGACGTGCATAGGCTCAAAATAAAGGGATGGGGGAAGATCTACCAAGCCAATGGAAAGCAAAAAAAGCAGGGGTTGCAATCCTAGTCTCTGATAAAACAGACTTTAAACCAACAAAGATCAAAAAAGACAAGGCCACTATATAATGGTAAAGGTATCAAATCAACAGGAAGAACTAACTATCCTAAATATATGTGCACCCAATACAGGAGCACCCAGATTCATAAAGCAAATCTTTAGAGACCTACAAAGAGACTTGGACTCCTACACAATAATAATGGGAGACTTTAACACCCCACTGTCAATATTAGACAGGTCAACAAGACAGAAGGTTAACAGGGATATCCAGGACTTGAATTCACCTCTGTACCAAGTGGACGTAATAGATATTTACAGAACTCTCCACCCCAAATCAGCAGAATATACATTCTTCTCAGCACCACATCACACTTATTCTAAAATTGACCACATAATTGGAAGTAAAACACTACTCAGCAAATGTAAAAGAACAGAAATTATAACAAACTGTCTCTCAGACCACAGTGCAATCAAATTAGAACTCAGGATTAATAAACTTACTCAAAACCACACAACTACATGGAAACTGAACAACCTGCTCCTGAATGACTACTGGGTATATAACAAAATGAAGGCAGAAATAAAGATGTCCTTTGAAACCAATGAGAACAAAGACACAACATACCAGAATCTCTGGGACACATTTAAAGCAGTGTGTAGAGGGAAATTTATAGCACTAAATCCCCACAAGAGAAAGAAGGAAAGATCTTGACAGCCTAACATCACAATTAAAAGAACTAGAGAAGCAAGAGCAAACACATTCAAAAGCTAGCAGAAGGCAAAAAATAACTAAGATCAGAGCAGAACTGAAGGAGATAGAGACACAAAAAACCATTCAAAAAATCAGTGAATCCAGGAGCTAGTTTTTTGAAAATATCAACAAAATAGACTGCTAGCAAAAAGTCAAATTGTCTCTGTTTGCAGATGACATGATTGTATATTTAGAAAACCCCATCGTCTCAGTCCAAAATCTCCTTAAGCTGATAAGCAACTTCAGCAAACTCTCAGGGTACAAAATCAATGTGCAAAAATCGCAAGCATTCATATACACCAACAGTAGACAGAGCCAAATCATGTGTGAACTCCCATTCACAATTACCACAAAGAAAATAAAATACCTAGGAATCCAACTTACGAGGGATGTGAAGGACCTCTTCAAGCAGAACTACAAACCACTGCTCAACGAAATAAAAGAGGACACAAACAAATGGAAGAACATTCCATGCTCATGGATAGGAAGAATCAATATCGTGAAAATGGCCATACTGCCCAAAGTAATTTATAGATTCAATGCTATCCCCATCAAGCTACCACTGACTTTCTTCCCAGAATAGGAAAAAACTACTTTAAAGTTCATATGGAACCCAAAAAGAGTCCACATAGCCAAGACAATCCTAAGCAAAAAGAACAAAGCTGGAGGCATCACACTACCTGACTTCAAACTATACTACAAGGCTACAGTAACCAAAACAGCATGGTACTGGTACCAAAACAGATATAAAGACCAATGGAACAGAACAGAGGCCTTAGAAATAATACTACCCATCTACAGCCATCTGATCTTTGACAACCCTGACAAAAACAAGCAATGGGGAAAGGATTCCCTATTTAATAAATAGTGCTGGGAAAACTGGCTGGCCATATGTAGAAAGCTGAAACTGGATCCCTTGCTTATGCCGTATACAAAAATTAACTCAAGATGGATTAAAGACGTAAATGTAAGACCTAACACCATAAAAACCGTAGAAGAAAACCTAGGTGGTACTATTCAGGACATAGGCATGGGCAAAGACTTCATGACTAAAACAACAAAAGCAATGGCAACAAAAGCCAAAATTGACAAATGGGATCTAATTAAAGAGCTTCTGCTCAGCAAAAGAAACTCATTAAGAGTGAACAGGCAACCTACCAAATGGGAGAAAACTTTTGCAATCTACCCATCTGACAAAGGACTAATATCCTGAATCTACAAATAACTTAAACAAATTTACAAGAAAAAAGCAATTCCATCAAAAAGTGGGCAAAGGATATGAACAGACTCTTCTCAAAAGAAGACATTTATGCAGCCAACAGACATATGAAAAAATGCTCATCATCACTGGTCATCAGAGAAATGCAAATCAAAACCACAATGAGATACCATCTCATGCCGGTTAGAATGGCAATCGTTAAAAAGTCAGGAAACAACAGATGCTGGAGAGGATGTGGAGAAATAGGAACGCTTTTACACTGTTGGTGGGAGTGTAAAGTAGTTCAACCTTTGTGAAAGACAGTGTGGCAATTCCTCAAGGATCTAGAACTAGAAATACCATTTGACCCAGTGATCACATTACTGGGCATCTACCCAAAGGATTATAAATCACGCTACCATAAAGACACATGCACACGTATGTTTATTGCAGCACTGTTCACAATAGCAAAGACATGAAACCAACCCAAATGTCCATCGATGATAGACTGAATAAAGAAAATGTGGCACATATACACCATGGAATACTATGCAGCCATAAAACAGGATGAGTTCATGTCCTTTGCACAGACATGGATGAAGCTGGAAACCATCATTCTAAGCAAACTATCACAAGGACAGAAAACCAAACACCACATGTTCTCACTCATAGGTGGGAGTTGAACAATGAGAACACATGGACACAGGGCGGGGAATGTCACACACCAGGGCCTTTTGGGGTTTGGGGGCCTGGGGGAGGGATAGCATTAGGAGAAATACCTAATGTAAATGATGAGTTGATGGGTACAGCAAACCAACAAGGCACATGTCTACCTACATAACAAACCTGCATGTTGTGCACATGTACCCTAGAACTTAAAGTATAATAGAAAAAATAATACAATTTGGCATTTCTTTCTAATTGTAGCAAACTGCTCCTGCTGCAGTATTTGAATCTCTGAAACACACCATACTCAGTTAAAGTATGAGTTGACTAATCTTTAATGATAAAGGGGCAATATATTATAATCTAACATATTTGAAACTACTAAGATTTTCTTGAAGCTTTTTTTAGATTTTAAAATTGAAGTAGAAAAGCACATACCAAATGTGCATATCTAAATAATCATTAATTCACACTTTCATCTTTTTCATCTTTGTCTCTTTCCTATTAATATTTTTAATATAAGAAATGAAGGCCAGGCTGGCTTCAGTGGCTCACACCTGTAATCCCAACACTTTGGGAGGCTGAGGCAGGAGAGTAGCTCAAGGCTAGGAGTTTAAGACCAGCCTGGGCAACATAGTGAGATCCCATCTCTACAGAAAAAAAAAAATTTTTAATTACCTGGGCATGGTGACATGCACCTGTAGTCCCTAGCTACTCAGGAGGCTGAGGCAGGAGGATTGCTTGAGCCCAAGAGTTTGAGGTTACATGAGTCATGATTGTACCACTGGACTCTAGCCCAGGCAACAGACTCCATCTCTTTAAAAAAATGAAAAGCCAAGATGAGTGTGAAGTTACCTAAGTGGGAGCAGCAAAGACTGTTGGGCCACTGATGCCTCAGCCACTGTTTGGAGTGTATTAATTGAATGTCATATGTGTCTTTGTAATATAAGGATGAACAATAACAGTAAATATAGGAAATAACTAACAGGAAAAAAATAGTATGCGATTTTTTTTGTTACAATGGGCTGATTTGATTCTTATATATTTTTATTGTAGGCCACCAAAATGAATGGCTGTGAAGAATATTGTGAAGAAAAAGTAAAAAGTGAAAGGTGAGAAAATAATTTTCAAAGTATCCATAATGCTTCTGTCTATCTATAAATGCTCTGAAGATTTCCATTTGTTTTCCAGTATAAAATAAGCATAGTTGAGTAGATTATAAAACTATGGTTGAATATTAAGAATTTTTAAAATTTTCGGGCCAGGTGCGGTGGCTCATGCCTGTAATCCCAGTGCTTTGGGAGGCTGGGGCGGGCAGATCACTTGAGGTCAGGAGTTCAAGACTAGCCTGGCCAACATGGTGAAACCCTGTTTTCTACTAAAAATACAAGAACCCAGGCATGGTGTCTCATGCCTGTAATCCCAGCACTTTGGGTGGCTGAGATGGGCAGATCACTTGAGGCCAGGAGTTGGAGACCAGCCTGGCCAACATGGTGAAACCCTGCCTCTACTAAAAATATAAAAATTAGCTGGGTGTGGTGACACATGCCTGTAATCCCAGCTACTCAGGAGGCTGAGGCAGGAGAATTGCTGGAACCCAGGAGGTGGATGTTACAGTGAGCCGAGATCGCGCCACTGTACTCCAGCCTGAGCAACAGAGCAAGACTCTGTCTCAAAAAAAAAAAGAAAGAAAAAAAGTTTTAAATTTTTTGTTACAAGGAGGTTCTAGTGACATGTGAAAATGTGTTTATTATACTATTGCTTCAAGAAAGCAATATTCTCTTAACTATTGGAAAAAATGAATGAAAGCGTGACCCTAAATGGAAATGTGGCAACAATCATGATAGTGACTGTCTTCACCTATTGGGTTATGGGTCATTTATTTTTCAGTTTCTCTATTTTTCTATACTTCAAAATTTTTTAATTTTTAATGAGAAAATGAAACCAAAAAAAGTAAGAAACCCACAAAATATGTTTTAAAACCCATAAAAATATTTTTAAACAATTTCTAATTATAAAGTAAGGTCTTTTTTTACAAAAATATATATGAGGGAAAGGGTTTTTATCTATGAGGGGACTTCAAAAAGTTCATGAAAAAATAGAGTTAAAAGATAAAAATATAAAATATAAACTTTATTAACATAAGCTCCATCAAGTTTAGCACACTTTTGTAGGTGATGATACCAGCCATTTAGTTAATCCCCAAAAAACTGAAGGTCCTGCAAATTTAACCATATCAATGCAGTCTTTTTTACATTAACTGAAGAAAAATGCATGCCCTTTACAGATTTTTTGAGATTGAGAAACAAAAAGTCAGAAGGAGCCAAATAAGGACTCTAAGATGGATTCCTGGTAATTTCCCACTGAAGCTCACAAAATTGCCTTGTTTGATGAGACGAATGAGCAGGAACATAGTCACACAAGAGGAGAACTCTCCAGTGAAGCTTTCCCAGACATTTCATGGATGTAGAGCTTTTTAACCCAGCAAAATTAGTGTTGTCACCCACAGTGAGTTAGAACAGGGGGAAACATCTGTCATAAAAGCAGCGTAATTGCTGCCCTGTTGACATTTTGGGAGCATTAGTCCATGTCCTGGTGTATACTAATGTCATCAGATGAAAGTACTCTGCTTTGTTCCCCCTGAATATCAGAAAGTTAAAAACGTATTCAGGCTTTTACGTAATCCTTTTTCACTTCACCTTAGCACTAAACACCGTTCTCCTACCTAGTTTCTCTTTCCTAGCCATCCACCTTACCAAAGAGGGCATCTGTTATGCACTCCCAAAATATTGAGAACTTGTACTGGGTTTCATTACATTAAGTGAGTGCCCAGGTACAGGAGTGTCCTTCTGGCCTCCTGTTGTAGCAAAAGGCTATACCCATCAATAGAGACTTCTTTAAATAAATTAAGATACATTCATATTTTGCAGTAGTGGGCAGATGCTGAAAAGAAGGAGAAAGAGCTATATGCCGGTACAATTGTAATCACTCATCCATGTTGAAGGATAGAAATAAAACCACCACCTTCTCCATCCTCAAATGGACTCCTTCAGTTTAAAGTTCAAAAACGGGATCTGTCCAAGGATAAATTTTAAAACTGTATTAAACCATTCTACATCTCAGTTGTTTACATCTACCAATAAATTTTAAGAATTGTGGCTTTGGTTTTCTTAGACATTCTATTTTAAAATACTATAATAATTGTAGAGAAAATCATTCAGGGCCATGTTTAATTTGAGTACAAAAATGAAGAAAATGTTTCAAATATGTTTTGTTTTCATAGCTTAATTCAGAAGCCACAAGAAAAGAAGACTGATGATGATGAAATAACATGGGGAAATGATGAGTTGCCAATAGAGAGAACAAACCATGAAGATTCTGATAAAGGCAAGAATTTTAATGACAGTTTTTTCCTCAAAAATAATGAATTGGAAAAATGTTTTTAAGTGATTTTCAGACTATATGGATATGCTGTTTTACCATATGTATACATTATTTGCTTTTTTTTTTTTTTTTCTTTTTTTGAGACAGAGGCTGGGAGTCCAGTGGGGCGATCTCGGCTCACTACAACCACCACCTCCCCAGTTCACTACAACCACCACCTCCGCAGTTCAAGCAATTCTCCTGCCTCAGCCTCGAGTAGCTGGGATTACAGGCGGGTGCCACCATGCCCAGCTAATTTTTGTATTTTTAGTAGAGACAGGGTTTCACCATGTTGGCCAGGCTGGTCTGGAACTCCTGACCTCAGATGATCCACCTACCTCAGCTTCCCAAAGTGCTGGGATTACAGGCATGAACCACCGCACCCAGCCACAGTATTTGCTTTTAAACATAAAGTTAAATCATGTAGACAAAAATCAATATTCATTATATTACCAGATATTTGCACAGTTATATTCTAAAATTCTCAGTGGCTTGGAGTAAAACATGCAAATAAATGTATACATACTTTAAGTGGAAATATGAAGTCATAATTTTGCCATTCTGGAAGGAGAAGTCAAGGGGCACTTTTTTTTTTTTTTTTTTTTTTTTTTTTGAGACAGAGTCTCTCTCTGTCGTCCAGGCTGGAGAATACAGTGGCACAATCTTGGCTCACTGCAACCTCCATCTCCTGAATTCAAGCAATTATTCTGCCTCAGCCTCCCAAGTAGCTGGGATTACAAGTGTGCGCCACCATGCCTGGCTATTTTTTCTGTTTTTAGTAGAGATGGGGTTTCACCATGTTGGCCAGGCTGGTTTCTAACTCCTGAGCTCAGGCAATCCACCCACCTCGGCCTCCCAAAGTGCTGGGATTACAGGCGTGAGCCACACCGCACCTGGCCAGAATTATTATTATCCTAGAATCCCAACC